>NC_000023.11:144475606-144778636 GCF_000001405.40 Homo sapiens | reverse complement strand
TAGAAAATAAATTTCTATCCAAACAAAACATCTATCTATATGTTATAGATGTCTATATATAGTATATGATATATAGATACGTATAGATTCATATAATGTATGTATAATTATAACATACAAGATATGATATATAATCTGTATAACTATGTATAACATATAAGATATATAATCTATATGATACATATTTAAAATCGAATTATTTATAATTCAAACAAAAGAGAACACAACCCCATTTACAGTGGCACCAAAAATAATAAAATAGTAATAAACCTAATTATGGAAGCAAAAGAATTATATTCTGGAAACTGAAACATCACAAAAAATAAAGGAGACACAAATGAAAAACATTCTGTGATCAAAAATTAAAAGCATAGTCTCTTCAAAAAATGGTTTTGGGAAAAGTGGATATCCACATGGTATTGGGAAAACCTGATTTCCAGATGCAAAAAAATAAAATTGGACCCATATCTTAAAACATACACAAAATTCAACTCAAAATAAATTTAAGACTTAAAAACAAGACATGAAACTGCAAATCTCCTAGAACAAAACATAGGTGAAGACCTTAATGGCATTGGTGTTGGCCTTAATTGATTGATATGACACCAAAAGCACATGCAACAAAAGGAAACGTAGATAAGAGAAACTACAAGTTTCTGCACATCAAAGGATACAAAAGTTGCCTTTTCATGAGTGAAAAGGCAACTTTTGAATGGCAGAAAATATTTGCAAACCATATATCTAACAAAAAGTTAATATCCAAAATATTCAGCAACTCAACTCAATAGCAAGAAAGCAAATAACCTGGTTAACGAATGGGCAAAAGACCTGTATGAAATAATAAGAAATATAAATATTAGTCTATTCACCCAGTGCCTGGAACAGAGCTCTTAAATGCCTCGTAATTTACTGAGTGATGGGATTCTAAGAGCATCTTTTAGTCTAGTATTTGGCCTCTGCCCCAGTTCCTGAGACAGAAATTGTAATATTCCCTTGCAGGTTGGGGTGCTAGGCAAATCTTTTGTTCTGACATTCGATCTTTGACTTCCAGTTTCTGACACAGAGCTGCTAAAAGCTTTGAGATTTCCTAGGTGATTAGAGCATCTTTTCTTCTAATGAGATGACTTTTGGTGAGTTCCTGGGTAGCCTTAAGATGGGGGTTGGTTGCCAGGGAAACCATTCCTGTAATTAGAGGATTAGAACTTTGAGCCCCACTCTCTGACCTCTAGGGAGGGCAGAAAGTTGACTTGATTACCGATGGCTAATAATGTAATCAATCATGCCTACACGATGAAGCCTCCATAAAAACTCAAAAGGACAAGAATAGAATGAGCTTCCAGATAACTGAACATGTGGGTATTCCTGGAGAGTGGCACGTGGGAGAGGGTATGAAAGCTCCATGAGCCTTCTCTCATACCTTGTGCTAGGCATCTCTTCTATCTAGGCGTTCATTTGTATCTTTTGTAATGTATTTTATGATAAATGGCTAAATGTAAGTCGCACATTTCCCTGAGTTCTGTAAGAACCTCTGGCAAATTCATTGAACCCGAGAATGGGTTATGGTAACTCTGGTTTATAGACAGTCAGTCAAAAATGTAGATGACAACCTACTACTTGTGATTAGCATTTGAAGTGGAGGGCGGGGCAGTCTTGTGGAACTGAACCTTTAATCTGTGGAATCTGATGCTATCTCCAGGTAGATAGTATAATAATTGAATTGAATTAAAGGATACCTATCTGGTGTCTTTGGAGAATTGTTTGCTTAGTGTGGGGGAAAAAAACACACATTTGATATCTGAGGTGTATTACTTAGGTAGTGAGAGTAGGAAAAGTACTTTGTTTTTGCTTGGTTTTAAAAAATATTATATCTCTTTAATTTAAATAGGCATGTCTCAAAAGAAGACACACATATAGCCAATAGGTATATGAGAAAATGCTCAACATCACTAATGTGAAAGGAAAATAAATTTTGGGACCCCAAAGTCACTAAGCTAAAGGGAAAAGTCAAGCTGGAAACTGCTTAGGGCAAACCTGCCTCTCATTCTATTCAAAGTCATCCCTCTGAGGCTCACCTGAGACAAATGCATATCTGATTGCTTCCTCTCTCCTATCGTTTATATAAAAATGCAGATTCACTGAGCCAGGCTAAATTGTGTAAGCAGTGGAAGGCTGATCAAGGACTCAAAAGAATGCAACCCTTTTGTCTGTTATCTGCTTCTAACCTGGAAGCCCTCACTTTAAGTTGTCCTGCCTTACCGGCTGGAACCAATGCACATCTTACACGTATTGAGGCTGGAACCAATGCACATCTTACACGTATTGATTGATCTCTCATGTCTCTCTAAAATGTATAAAAGCACACTGTACCCCCAACCACCTTGAACACATGTCTGAGTCTGTGTCACAGGTGTGTTCTTAACCTTGGCAAAATACACTTTCTAAATTGACTGAGACCTGCAGATATTTGGGGTTCACACTAATTATCTGAAAAATGCAAAGGAAGCCCAGAAAGGGAACCCTTGCTCACTGTTGGTGGTAATGTGAATTAATAGGGCTGTTATGGGAAATAGTATGAAAGTTTCTCAAAAAAAAAAAAAAAAAAAAAAAAAAAAAAAAAAAAAAAAAAAAAAAACAACAACAACAACTACCATATAATCCAGTAATCCCACTTCTGGGTATATATCCAAAGAAACTGATATCGACTTGTTAAGGGGGCATCTGCACTCTCATGTTCATTGCAGCATTATTCACAATAGCCAAGATATGCAATCAACCTAAGTCCCATCAACAGATGAATGGATGCAGAAAGTGGGGTGTATACACAACAGAATACTATTTAGTCTTTTTTTAAAAAAAGATGTTGGCATCTTTTTTTAAGATGATACAATCCTAAGCTTACTTGTAGGACAGATGTTGCACAGTAATGGGAAAGTCAGGAAAACTAGAAGCTACCACCTCTACTTAGCTCACTGATCAAAAACAGGCATGTCACTTTGAGACAAGAAGGCCATTGTCCCCATCCCCAGATTTGGACTAGTGGCACAGAGATATTGCCCGGAAGAGAGGCAAATCATAACAGAGATCTCTGGAGCTCTTTTCAAGATAAGAGATTTTGTTGGAAACATGTGAGGAAGTTCAAGGCTAAAAGGGCTTGAAAAAGATGCAAATTCTGCTGGTAAACAATGAAGAAGCATAATGGCATCTTCATGAAAACAACAAGCTAAACTGTAGGCCAGTTAGTTTATCAGAGAGGTCTCAGGAAAGAGGCAACTAAGAAGAGCCCTCCATGGGTCAGAACAAAATTTCAAGACTGTTTTCAAAGACTACCACTGCAAAGTGTCCTGAATTTAACTGTATTACACTGAGTAGCAGTTTATGCTTCACAGCATTATTGAAAACAAAAGAGTAATCAGTGGCAATTTGTATTGCTTAACAGCTGACTGTGATGCCTAAACAGACAGCTTAACAAAGAGACAGGGGAAAGACACAGGCCAAGACAGCCCTGATAATAACACTCTCATCCCAGGGTAAAATTATGCATGGCCAAAGTTCCCATTTTGAGGAGCAACATCAGAGGATTCAGACTGAAAAGAAAACAGACTTCACTAAAATAGCCCAGATAAGTCACTAAACAAATAAATAAGCAAAAAACAACAACAACAACAAACCAAGCAGGTGGAGGTGTGGATAAGTGTCAAAACTGGCTATAATGTTTTATGAAAAATATCCAAATTTCAACAAAGTATTATGAGATATGCCAATAAATAGGAAAGTGTGATACAGACACGGGGAAAAAATAGACAATAGAAACAGCCTGTGAAATGGCATACATGTTGTTTTTAACAAACACTTCTAGCAACCATTATACACATGTTCCCAGAACCAAAGAAAACCATGTTTAAATAAGAAATGGAAGGCATAATGACAATTACGGACATAGAAATTATAAAAGCAAAAACAAATTTAAGAGTTGAAAAGTATAATAACTGAAATTAAAAATTTACTAGATGGGGCTTAATAGAAAAATTGAATTGGAAGAATAAAAAATTAGTGAACTTGAAGATAAATTAACAGAGATTATGCAATCCAAACAACAGAGGGGAGAAAATAGAATGAAGAGAAGTTATGAAAGACTCAGGAAAATGTAGGACACCATTAAGTACACCATCATATGTGTAAGGAGAATAATACAAAGAAGGGGAGAGAAAAAGAAGTGGAAAAAATTATACAAAAAATAATAGCTAAAAAAATTAATTAAAAAAAAGTCATTAATCTACAAATGGAGGAAACTCAGAAAACTCCAAGAGGATAAATGCAGATTGTGAACCCATAAATCTGAGAAAGGTTTCAGTTAATTTCAAAAGTTTATTTTGCCAGGGTTAAGGATGCATGCCTGTGACTAAGCCTCAGGTTGCCCTGATGACATCTCACCAAGGGGGTCAGAGCACAGTTTGGTTTTATACATTCTGGGAGACATGAGACATCAATCAATATAAGTACAATGAAAAGGTGGGACAACTTGAAGCAAAGGCAGAAAGACTCAAGCAGGCAGGAGGCTTCCAGGTCATAGGTAAATAGACAAATGGTTAAATTCTTTTGAGTTTCTAATTAGCCTCTCCAAAGGAGGCAGTCAGATATGCATTTATCTCAGTGAGCAGAGGGATTTCTTTGAATAGAATGGGAGACAGGTTGGCCCTAAGTAGTTCCCAGATTGACTTTTCCCATTAGCTTAGTGATTTGGGGCCCCCAAATTTATTTTACTTTCAGAAGATCCAGACACAGAAACTTTACGGAAAAATATTGAATACCAGATACAAAGAGCAAATCCTTGAAGCAGCAAAAGAAAAATACAACATGTGTATACAGGAGAATCATAATAAGATTTTTTGCTAACTTCTCATGAGAACCAATGGAGACCAGGAGGCAGTGAGATGACGTATTTAAAGTGTTATAAGAGAAAGAAACATTCAATCAAGAATTTCATATTCAAACTGTCTTCATAATTGAGAGAGACATCAATTGAACTAATATTCGAGAGAGACAGAGATACGTAAACTTTCAGAGAATTCAAAAGAGCTGCCTTGAGGAAACTCAACAAAATTCAACATGACACAGAGAAGGAATTCAGAATCCTATCAGAAAAATTTAACAAAGAGATTACAGTAATTAAAAAGAATTAGACAGAATTCTAGAGTTGAATAATGCATCAGAGTCCCTTAATAGCAGAAATGATCAAACAGAAGAAAGAATTAGTGAACTTGAAGACAGGCTATTTGAAAATACACAGTCAGAGGAGTCAAAAGAACAAAAAGAATGAAGCATGTATATAAGATCTATACATACAACGGAGCTCCAGTACGCATGGCAGCAGACTTCAGTGGAGACCCAATGAGCCAGGAGAGAGTGGCGTGACATATTTAAAGTGCTGAAGGAGAAAAAGTTGTATCCTAGAACAATATGTTGAGGGAAAATATCCTTTAAACATGAAAGAGAAATAAAGACAGTCCCCCTCAAAACAAAATTTGCTGAGGATTTTATCAACACCAGATCTGTCCTACAAGAAATTCTACAGAGAGTGCTTCAGTCTGTTAAAAAAGAAAAAAAGAAGAAGTTTAATGAGCAATAACAAATCATCAGTAGGGACAAAGGTCACTGGTAACAGTAAATACACAGAAAAACAACAGAATATTATAACATTGTAATTGTGATATATATGCTACTACTATCATGAGTAGAAAACCTAAAAGGTGAAACTATCAAAAGCAATAACTACAACAACTTTTTAAGACATAGATAGTATAAAAAATATAAATAGAAACAACAAAAAGTTAGTAACCAAGGGGATGAGCTTGAAGGGTAATGTCTTTATTTGGGTTTACTTTGTTTGTAAGTTTTTCTGTTTATGTAATCAGCATTAAGTTATTATCAGTTCAAAATAATGGGTTATGACATATTATTTGAAAGCCTTATGGTAACCTAAAATAAATAAATATATATAACATAAACACACACACACAAAAGTAAGAAATTAAAACATACCAACAGAGAAAATCATGTTCACTAAAGGGAAGACAGGAAGGAAGAAAAGAGGAAGAGAAGACTACAAAACAACCAGAAAAAAAAATCTAAGTGACAGAAGTAAGTTCTTACTTACCGATAATAAAAATAAATTTGATTAATATTAATGCAAAAATCCACAACAAAATACTAGCAAACCAAATTTAACAACACATTAAATATATCAATCATCATGACCCAGTGGGATTTATCCCAGGGATGCAGGGATGGGTCAACATATAAAAATCAATCAATATGATATATCGTATCACCAGAATGAAGGACAAAGCAATATGATCATTTCAACTTATAGTGAAAAATCATTTGATAAAATAGAACGTCCCTTCATGATTAAAAAAATAAAAATACTGGATATAGAAGAAAGATACCTCAACACAATAAATGCCATATATGACAGACCTACAGCTCGTATTATACTGAATGAGAAAAAACTAAAAGCCTTTCCTCTAATATTTGGAACATGACAAGGATGCCCACTTTCACCACTTTTATTCAGCATAGTATTGGAAGTCCTAGCTAGAGCAATCAAACAAGAGAAATATATAAAGGGCACTCAAATTGGAAGGGAAGCGTCAAGTTATCCAGTTATCCTTGTTTGCAAATTATGTGAGCTTTTATTTGGAAAAATCTAAAAACTCCACCAAAAATCTATTAGAACTGATGAATAAATTCAGTAAAGTTGCAGGATACAAATCTACATACAGAAATGAGTAGCATTTTCATATAACAACAGTGAACGTTCTGAAAAATAATTCAAGAAAGTAATACCGTTTATAACAGCTACAAATAAAATAATATCCCTAGAAATAAAACTTAACCAAATAAGTTAAACATATCTACAATGAAAACTATGAAAGGTTAATGCTAAAATATTGAAGAGGACATGAAAAAAATGGAAATATATTTTATGCTCATGGATTGGAAACATCAATATTGTTAAAATGTACATACTACCCAAAGCAGTCTAAAAGTTCAATGCAATCCCTCTCCAAATACCATTGACATTCTTCACAGAAATAGAAAAAAAATCCTAAAATTTATAAGAAACCACAAAAGACCCAGAATAGCCAATGCTATCCTAAGCAACAATAGCAAAACCGAAGAAATCTAATTACCTGAATTCAAATTATGCTACAGAGCTATAGTAACCCAAACAGCATATAACTGGCATAAAAGTAGACACATAGACCAATGGAACAGAATAGAGAACTCAGGAATAAATACAGACATCTACAGTGAACTCATTTTCAATGAAGGTGCCAAGAACACACCCTGGGGAAAAGATGGTCTTCAATAAATGGTACTAAGAAAACTGGATATCCATATGCCAAAGAATGAAACTAGGCCCTTATCTCGCACCATATACCAAAATCAAATCAATGTGTTAAAGTCTTAAATTTAAGACCTCAATCCTGAAAATACTACAAGACAACATTGGAGAAATTCTTGAGGAGATTGGACCGAACAATGATTTCTTGAGTAATACCCCACAAGCACAGGCAATCAAAGCAATAATTGACAAATGGGATCACATCAAGTTAGAACGTTACTGCAAAGCAAAGGAAACAATCAAAGTGGAGAGACAACACACAAAATGGTAGAGAATATCTGCAAGCTACCCATCTGACGAGGGATTAATAACCAGATTATAGAAAGAGCTCGAACAACTCTATAGGAATTGGAGGTCATTATATTAAAATAAGCCAGGCACAGAAATACAATCTTCACATGTTCTCACTTATTTGTAGGAGCTAAAACAATCAAAACAATTGAACTCACAGAGATAGAGTAGAATGATGGTTACCAGAAGCTGGGATTGGTAGTAGGAGGAGGGGAATTGGGGAGGTTTAGTGGGTACAAATATATAGTTAGCAAGAATAAGATCTAATACTTCATAGCCCACAGTGTGAGTTCAATCAAAAATTTATTGTATATTTAAAAGAGGACAATTGCATTGTTTGTAACGCAAAATAGGGTAATTGGTTGAGATGATGGATATACCATTTATACTGATGTTATCACACATTGTATGCCTGTATAATAATATCTCATGTACCCCATAAATATATGCAGCTAGTATGTAGCCGCAAGAATAATAATTTAAAAAGGAGACAAAATAATTACATTTTCTTATAAACAAACACACAGAGAATTTCTTGTTAAGAGATCGGACTTACAAAAAATACTGAAGGAATTTCTTCAGGCTGAAAGCAAGTGACACAGACAGTAATTCAAATCCATACAAAATACCAAAGAACACTAGGTTAAGGTAATTATGTAAATATCAAAGACAATAGAAGTACGTATTTCCTCTCCTTTTAACTGACTTAAAGCAATTTGTATACAATTATATGTACATAGTGTGCAACACTTAAAATGTAATATATTTGACAAAAACAGCACAAAGGAGGCAGTAGATGCAAAGTTATAGTAAGGAATTGAAACCACATGGTAACTCAAATCCATAGGAACAAATAAAGAGAACTAGAAATAATAAAGTTAAGAAAACATATTCCAGAAATATATAATTTTCTGTTTTCTTCTCTCAACCTCTTTATGTTACATAAAATCATATAAAGTGGTAAAGCAATGTATTCTCGGATTTCTAACATATAGATTTCTTATAGGTATATTATTTATAGGACAAAAAAGGAAAAACACAGTTATATAGGAGAAACAGTTCTATGTATCAGTGTAATTAAATTAGCGTACATTTGAAGTACATTCTGATGAGTTAAAATATACAGAGTAAGCCCTAGAGCAATCACTAAAAAAAATTATCAGGCATAATGTGAAAACATCATTTAAGGAGTAAAATTTTACACTAGAAAACACTCACTTAATGTAAAATTGCCCTTAGTGTTTTCAGAGATAAGAGAAGACATATTATCCATAACTAAATAAAAGTTTTCACTAAAAATGGAACAGAGCGTAATAAATAGATCTTAGAAATTAAATATATGAGAGCAGAAATTTAAAGGAATCAAATTCTTAATTTAGAAGATAACATTGAAGAAATCTCTCAGAAATTAAAACAAAAAACACCAGAGAAGATACATGAGATAGAATCGTTTTTTTAGGAAAATGTTTAAGTAGGGGATTATTTCAGCATGTCTAACCTCAGAATGACAGGAGTTCCAGAAAGAAAGAATAAAGAAAAAAGAGAGAAAATTTCTGAAGTAAATACATTCATACAAGTGAAGAGTATGGCTTTCCAGATTGATAGGCTCCAGCATAATGAAGAATAAAAGGAATCTCATAATATTATGAAATTGTTAATACCAGAGATAAAAGGAAAAATGAAAATGTTACCGAGCTACTTTTGTCTATGATGAAGTAACAAGTATGAAAACAGCCCTTTCACTGTAACAATAGAAGTGTGAAAATTATATGAAGCAACTCTTTTCAGGTATTTGACAACAAGAAACACAGACTGCAATCCCTGTAGGTGTCAATATTTATGAGGTGAACCCCATGATTACTGCAGCTCTCTGCCTGTGCAACTCTTCGCCAACTACAGTCCAGCATCCTGGAGGCCAAGACAGTTCCACTGAGCTGATGAGGCAGAGGTCAGATTTCACAGTGGCTCAAGCAACTGGAACCCATGACACTAGACACCAGAGAGGAGAAAGCTATGCAGAGAAAAGGTCCAGAAGTCTCTTAGTGAGTCCCTCCATGAGTTAGTAGCTGAGATTTGGATTCCACATATTAAAGGTTTACTAAAAAGAAGCTTCTATAGGGTTAAAACCAGCACACAGAAACTAAAAGTTCATTATTGTTAGGTCATGTAAGAGTTCCAGTCCAGCCAGAACACAAAGACCAGAGTATCACTTTCATAACACTCTAAAATGGTGAATATTACAAAGTCAGACAATGTCAAGGGCTTCTGAGGATGTAGAACATCTGGAACTCTCTCAATAATTGCAGGTAAAAATGTAAAAGCATTCAATACCTTTGGTAAGCCCTTTAGTAGTATTTTTTCCTATAAAATCATACACTTACAAAATGACTGAGTACACATATCTCTAGGTATTAAGAGAAATAAAAATTCTTGTCAAAGACTCATACAGGAATATTTATAGTATGCTCGTCATGACAGCCAAAAACTAGAAATAATCAAAATTTCCGTCAACAGGTGAAAATTTGACACATCCATACTCAGTGACAAAAATGAATATGGATATGCACAACAGTGTGCATTAATCTTAAAAAATACTATGTTGCACAAAATAATCCAGACATAAAAGGGAACATACTATATAGTGTTATTTGTGTAAAACTGTAAGAAAGACAAATCTACTCTGTAGGAATTTAATTTAGATTAGTAGTTGCCTGGGGACAGGAAGGGTGTGGAGACTAACCAGGAAGAGAGGCATAAGTGTACTTTTTGGGTGATAGAAATGTTCTGTTAGGCTGGTGCCGTTATAAGCAATGGCAAAAAAATGCAATTGATTTTGCACCAATAAAATATATCTTGATTGTAATTGTGGCTACATGGATGCATACATCTATCAAATCATTTAATTTTACACTTTGGAATTGATTTAATATAATGCTATATATGAAAAGAAATAGGAAAATGTAACCGATGTTTATAAAAGATTAATAAAAATCAAATGCCAAATGACCCAGGTGTTGGATTTAGCAGTCTTTAAAGTAGCTACTTTAAATATTTAGAGTTTTAAATAAAAAAGGAAAAAAGAATAGAAGGAAAATGGCATAAATAGGGGATCTCTAAAGAAAGAAAATGGAAATCTATTAAAGAGATCAAAAGGAAAGACTAGATCTGAATAGTACAATACAAAATTACAATATCCATTGGATAGCCTTGACAAGTAGATTGGAGATGGCAGAAGAAAGAGCCAGTGAACACGAATGCAGAACAAAAGTAACTATGCAAGAACCATCTGAAGAATCAAGATAATAAGAGACTGAGAAAAAATGAACAGAGTTTGAGTCTTGTGCCACAATGTTAAATAATCTAATATACATACATTTATTTGGTGTCCCAGAAGGAGAAGAGAGTGAAAATGGATATCACAATATTTGATGAATTAGTGCCTGAAAAGTTCCCAGATTTAATTAAAAGGTATCAATTTATAGATTAGAAAAGCCCAGTGAACCCCAGGCAGGATAAATGAACACAGGGGTGCATGAATGTGCATGCATTCCTAGTTATATCTAGTCAAATTCCTAAACACTAAATTCAGAAGAATCTTTGAAGTAGTCAGTTTAAAAAAAAGACACATTAAGTCAAGGAGAACGATAGTATAAATTAGCTGATTCCTATCACAAACAATTAAGGCCATAAGACAATTGAATGTTATATTTAAAGAGTTAATAGAAAAATAGTCAACCCAGAATTCTGTATTAGATGATGATATTCTTCACGAAAAAGTAAAATAGACATTTCACATAAATGAAAGCTGAGATCATCTGTTACCAGAAGACCTGCAGTCAAATAAATGCTGATTGTTTTAGACAATCATTTTTGATGCCTGATGGAAGCTCGGATCTATAGGTAGAAATGTACACCACCAAAAAACAGTAAGTTAATGGGTAAATAAAACACTTCCTTGAAAAGAGAAATATAGAAAAAAAGCCCTTATCACACACAAAAAATAAGAAATATTACAATCATGCCTTAAAAATTCTAAAGGAAGATAATTTCCTGGATAAAATTATATATTTAGCCAAACCAAAAATGGATTATGAGTTAATCTCATGTTCAGATTGTAAAAAAACAGACAAAAAATCCAAAATATTCTTCTCATGTACCCTTTCTCAGGAAGTCACTGAATTATGTATCCCTCTAGAACAAGGGTGTAAAACAAGAAAATGGGAGACATTATACCCAGAAAACAGAGGTTTCAACTCGGGAGAGAAGTGACAAGACTGCCAAGACCCAGCCTCAAGGATTTTGATACTGTGAGCTGGGCGTGAAATCCAGACAGCTCTATTTTTATTATAATAAGCTCTAGGTGATTTTGGTGCAAAGTCTGATTTAGAAACCATTCTTGCCTAATTTTATAATAACCCTGTGAATTAGGCAGACCCAATATTTTATCCTTATTGTACAAATTCAATTAACCTCATGCATTTAATAAATAGCAAAACTAGGACGACTCTTCGATATTTTGAGATATTTGAGATATTTTCTCATTGCTTGAATGCAGTTATAATAGTGTTTTTCCAACTGTTGTTCTGATGTTCAGCAGCATCAGGATCTGCAGGAATATTTGTTTAAACTGTAAATTCTGGGCCCGAACCAATGGAGATACTGGTTTAAGAGGTTGGTGATGGGGCCAAGAAATCTGAATTATTAGCGAGCGTCCCAGTTCACTGCAGTTTGAGAAGCTTGATCTATAACTGACTCCAAAAAGGTGATTATTTACAAAGAGATTGGAGTGAGGAACCACAGCCAGCACAGAATGCGCTTTTGTAAAATGTACAAAAAGGCCTTCTCTACTTGTAAGAATTATAAATAGGTGCCCTTCTTTTCTGTTATCAGAGTAAGGACTTGGAATGAAATGAAGGAAGAATTCAGCCATCAATTATACCCTGGGTGGGCCAGGAGCCTCTGTGCATTGTAAAATCTACAAAAACATGGGAAAAGGGGAATTATTTATTTGCATATACAAATTTGGCACTCATGTTAACAATGATATTGATAATTTGAAGGCTACTTTTATACAGTTTTTATTGGAAGCCGGCTCAGTATACAATTTTAACCCAGTCACATGAAAATATGTTCAAATCTCATAAAGGAACAAATAAAACCTGCTTAGGAGAGGATTGCAGGTGTTTCATGTCCCTTGTAAATCCATTCTTTCCCTATTTCATTATGTGATTTTAGGGTTATTGATATTCACTTTCTTTAATCCTCTAGTATTTTCAAAACTATATTTAAGTGGTTCCCAACCTCTCAATTGAATGAAAGTGTGTTGGATGTAAATCTTTTCACTTTGTTGTCTCTTATTATTACATGTCCTCCTCACCTGTGACTTTTTGGCAATGCATCTGATTTTAGCTGGAAAAAAAATTGTAGATTGATGTTACCGCACATTTTTTCTGATTTGCATTATGTTCTTGCAGTCCTTACTTCTTAAAATCCCTTTTCAGTTTCCCTTCAGTTTCCCAGGGCAAATATTTCAGTATTTGGTGAATGAAAATATAAACTTGAACTAATGGTACAAAAGAAAAAATTAATTACCAGGAGCACAACTCCTCTTAGAAAATATTAAGTATGTTAGGATATTGGTAGAATTGATTTTTTCCCCTACATGCCTTTTCTAAGAGTTAAAAGTGAGTAGGTTCGTTTGGATAAAAGCCAGGCAATCAGATTTGCTCTTTCTATTCCCCTTCCCACCACCACCTGGAGAATATAAAATGGCACTTTAAAATTTGCAATTCCTTTAGCTTGAGCAAGAGCAGTGTTTATAATGTTAGTGTTTCAAATGTTATGCCTGAAATAATACTGCCCTATTTTTCTTTATTTCTTCTTCAAAATACAACCAAAATCTGACAACTTATCCCAGTCTTCACTGTTACCATCCTACAATCTTGATCAAATTACTGTCACTTCTGACCTGGATGACCTCTACAGTCTGCTAACTAGTCTCACTGTTTTCACTCTTGTTCCTCTTCAAATTGTTCTCAGAAGAACAGCCATATTGATCCTATTAAGGTATACATCAGATCATATTCTTCACTCTTCAATATCCTTTGAAGGCTTCTCAACTCATTCTCGGTAAAGGTCAAAATTCATCTGGATTTTATATATATATATATATATATATATATATATATATATATATACACACACACACACACACACACACACACACACACACACACACACACACACACACACACACCTTCCAGAGATCCTCTCACCCCCTTATCTCTCTGATATTGTTCCCTACTGCTCTTCATCTATCTCACTCCAGTAATTCTGGCTTCCTTGAACACCCCATACATGTCCCTGCTTCAGGGCCTTTGCAATTGCCAATCTTTCTGCCCAGGAGCTCTTCCCTCAAGTATCTTCATGGATAAATCCCTCATCTCTGCAAATTTTTATTGAAATTGAAACTCTTACCCCTTTCACCAGTCTTGCTTATTGACATGGTTTACTCTGTGTCCCCAACAAAATCTCACCTTGAATTGTAATAATCCCCACATGTCAATGGCAGGACCAGGTGGAGGTAATTGAATCATGGGGGGGCAGTTTCCCCCTGCTGTTCTCATGATAATGAGTGAGTCTCATGAGATCTGATGGTTTTATAAGCATTTGGCATTTCCCCTGCTGGCACTCATTTTCTCTCATGCCACCCTGTGAAGAGGTGTCTTCTGCCCTGATTGTAAGTTTCCTGAGGCCTCCCTAGTAATGTGAACCTGGGAGTCAGTTAAACCATTTTCCTTTATAAATTACCCAGTTTGGGGCAGTTCTTTATAGCAGTGTGAGAACAGACTAATACACTTATCCTTACTTTATTATTTTATTATTCCTGACTTCATTATTTTCCATAGCTTTTTTACCAACTGATATATTGTATACTTTTCTTATTTATTTATTCTCTGACTACCTCTCTCACACACACAAATTATCAACTCCAAAAGAGTAAGAACTTTTGTCTGTTTGTTTACTACTCTACTTCCATAGCCTAAAATGATTCTGGGTATATACTCAAGACTATTTCTTGAATGAATGGATGATTGAGTAGATGGATGGATTGTTAAATGGATGATTAGTATTATATATACCAGAATTTTGCTTTTCAGGATATGGCCAATAGAACTTTGTATACATGCCTTTTTACTGCCTTTCTAATAACCATTAAAAGTCCTCATCAGGTGTCTCCTCCCTCCAACATCCCCTGCCCCCAGAGATGGAGTCTTGCTCTCTCACCCAGGCCAAAATGCAGTGGCATGATCTCAGCTCACTGCAACCTCTGCCCCAGCGGTTTAAGCAATTCTCCTGCCTCAGCCTTCCAAGTAGCTGGGATTACAGGCATGCGCCACCACTCCTGGCTAATGTTTGTATTTTCAGTAGAGATGGGTTTCACCAGGTTGGTCAGGCTGCTCTGTGAACTCCTGACCTCATGATCCGCCCCCCTCAGCCTCCCAAAATGTTAGCATTACAGGCATGAGCCACCGCACCTGGCCTCATCAGGTGTCTTAGTTACAGTTCTGAACATTCACTCAACCTGTCTGTCAATAAAATCCCCACCCATTCTATTTTTAATATTGGAAAATAGACAAATACATATACATTAGAATAAAAACTTCTTCCATCTTTCCATACTTCTCCACAGCAACAAAACTATGCACCTGGTTAGGTACCAATTACGGTTATGTGAATCTCTATTTTTATTGTACTTTTTAATCCTCACAGAGTGTTTAATTACTTCATTTAGAGAGCAAGTGAATGCTTTTTGTCGTAGAATTTCTTGAAAAATAGTAGAAATGAAAACAAGATAAAGTATTTCTCAACCCAAATTAGTAGTGTGGGAAAATGGCACAAAACCATGATAGAAGCACTACTTCATGAATGTAGCCAAGCCTGGCTTTTGGCCATTTAGTGGAACTCTTTTGCATATGTTGATTTAATTATATTGTTTAATGGAATGTGTAATACAAACATGACCTTGGGATAGAGATACTAGAGTTTTGTTTCTATATGACCTCAAACAATTTTGTTCACTGTTGTCAAAATAAATGGAATCAAGAAGAGATAGACCACTTAGTTTAGGAATTATGGAGATATAGAAATAAAATATATTTGTACACCACTTTATACTTAACACATACAAACAACAAATCTCATAACTGAGATATTGTGTAGTACAATCTACTCATTTGAAAGTAGTTGAACTTGAGGCTTAGAGGAAGTGACCCAAGGTCTTTCACAAAGATTCTTTCATTTGATGCTAACAATAATCCTGTTAGGTCGGTAACCTTAATTTGCATAGAAGAATTTTGAAGCTCAAAGAAAGAGCATGATTCATATAAAAGGCATTGACCTAAAAGAAATAAATCCTGCTTTCCATTTCTGACTCTACCTTCTAGCTTTTCCTGTAAATCCTTGGCGGATTCTCTTACCCATTATTGGTTTCAATTTTCTCATTTGCAGACAAGAGAAGTGAAAATAAATTACTTTCTAACCTCTCGTGTGATGATTCTACAGCTTTCTCATAGTAAGGCAGTCAGGCCATGACTCCAGTCAGTTTTGTCTTACCTAAAGCCAGCACAGTTTACTCTACATGTTGCCTCTTTGTATCTGGAACAAGAAGATCCTTATTTTATTGTGAGAATACGACAAAGTTAGATACCACTGATAGTTGTAACTGAGCACTCCTAAGTAAAGGTTGAAATTATATAATTTCACAATTGGGAACTAAAAAAAATTTCCTTCCTGTTTTTAATGAAATGAAAAAAAATCTTTAGACATACTACCCTTGATCCAGATGTGATGAGCAGATGGCACAAATCTCTTTTTTTTTTTTTTTTTTTTTTTTTTGAGACGGAGTCTCGCTCTGTTGCCCAGGCCGGACTGCGGACTGCAGTGGCGCAATCTCGGCTCACTGCAAGCTCCGCTTCCCGGGTTCACGCCATTCTCCTGCCTCAGCCTCCCGAGTAGCTGGGACT
Source organism: Homo sapiens (assembly GCF_000001405.40). Classification (NCBI taxonomy): domain Eukaryota; kingdom Metazoa; phylum Chordata; class Mammalia; order Primates; family Hominidae; genus Homo; species Homo sapiens. The sequence continues at coordinate 144,761,911 of NC_000023.11, read as the reverse complement.
ACAGGCGCCCGCCACCGCGCCCGGCTAATTTTTTGTATTTTTAGTAGAGACGGGGTTTCACCTTGTTAGCCAGGATGGTCTCGATCTCCTGACCTCATGATCCACCCGCCTCGGCCTCCCAAAGTGCTGGGATTACAGGCGTGAACAAATCTCTTTTTGAAGAAGAGTAGGGAAGCATCTGCAAAAACATTTTCACTTTCAAAGGAGAGAGTATTACTTGAGCCCTTATTGAAAGAGAAAGATTTCACCCTTACCATTTTGTTTGCAGAAAGAAAAGTGTGTAGCCTATGTGTAGCCTATTACTCTGCTTCGTCTTCTTGGGAAAAAAATTCACTGAGACGCAGCTGGGGCCATGAGTGAAGAATAATTTCTGTGTATGAAGACTCGGTGACCTGCATTGGGAGGGAATCAATATCAAATTATTGAAGCCAGTGATAAAATCATTGCTTACGAATGTGATGAGGTATATAATGTCTTTGGAGCCAGGTAGACATGGATTCATATTCTGTCTTTGTCATTTATAATTTGTGCTTCCTTGGGCAAGTTGTATATATTTGTATTTCTCAGTGGATCAACAGAGACTAGCACAGAGTAGGCACTGCATACCTGTCAGAGGAGTGAATGAAGTTTTATTTCTTATTCACATCTTTATCTATAAAATGTAAATAAAAATTTCTGCCTGGCAGTGATTTTATAAACATTAAATGAGAAAATATATGTTAGGTTCTTGTATTAGTTTTCCAGGGCTGCTATAACAAATAAACATAAACTTTGTGGTTTATAGTAATAGAAATGTATTACTTCAATCTCATTCCTTGTTATTGGTCTGTTCAGGTTTCAGATTTCTTCCTGATTCAACCATGGCAGGTTGTATGTATCCAGTAATCTGTCCATTTCTTCTAGATTTTCCAGTTTATTGGCATATAGTTCCTCACAGTAGCCACTAACGATATGTTAAATTTCTGCAGTATCAGGTCATAATATCTATTATTTCATCTCTGATTTATTTGAATCTTTTCTCTCTTTTCTTAGTCTAGCTAAACATTTGTCAATTTTGCTTACCTTTTCAAAACATCAACTTTTTGTTTCATTGATCTTTGTATTTTTTTCATTTCAAGTTTCTTTGTTTCTGCTCTGATATTTATTATTTATTTTCTTCTACTAATTTTGGGTTTGGTTTACTCTTGCCTTTGTAGTTCTTAAGGATGCCTTGTTAGATTGTTCATTTGATTTTTGTTAGGTTTTTTGGTGTAGGCATTTATACCTATAAATTTCCCTCTGAGTACTGTTTTTGCTGTATCCCATAGGTTTTGGTATGTTGTGCTTCCATTTAATTTGCTTCCAGAAAATGTTCAGTTTTTTTCTTAATTTCTTCATTGACCCGCCAGTCATTCAGGAGCTTTGGCAAGTCTGCTGCCAGACATACTGAAAATTCACTGTGTGTTATTTTTTTTTCTATTGCTGCTTTTAGGATCTTTTAAAAATCCTTGATATTTGGAAGTTTGATTATTAAGTGCCCTGAAGTAGTCTTCTTTAGGTTAAATCTGCTTAGTGTTCTGTAACCTTCTTGTACTTGAATACTGATATGTTTCTCTAGGTTTGGGAAGTTTTCTGTTATTATCTCTTTGAATTAACTTTTGACCTCTATCTCTTTGAATAAATTTTCTACCCCTACCTCCTCTTTAAGGCCAATAACTCTTAATTTGCCATTTTGAGGCTACTTCATAGATTCCGTAGGCATGCTTCATTTTTTTCTGTTTTTTCCTCTGACTGTCCGTTTTCAAATAGCTGGCCTTCAAGCTCACTAACTCTTTGTTTTGCTCGATCAGTTCTGTTATTAAAGGATTCTAATACATTCTTCAGTATGCCAATTACATTTTTCCACTGCTGTATTTCTGCTCAATGCTTTTTAATTATTTCAATCTCCGTTAAAATTATCTGATAGAAATCTGAATTCTGTCTCTGAGTTATCTTGAATTTCTCTGAGTTTCCTCAACATAGGTATTTTCAATTCTCTTTCTGAAAGTTTACATATACCTGTTTCTCTAAGATTGGTCTCTGGTGCCTTATATAGCTTATTTGCTGTGGTCGTGTTTTCCTAGATGATGCTGATGCTCATAGATATTCTTTGGTGTCTGGGTATTACAGAGTTAGATACTTATTTTCGTCTTTACTTTCTGGGCTTGCTTGTACTTGTCCATCTTGGAAAGGCTTTCCAGATATTTAAAAGGAATTGGGTGTTGTGATCTAACCTGTATCTGCATTACAGGGCACCTGAAGCCCAGTAACACTGTGCTTCTTGCAGACTCATAGAGGCACCAATTTGATAGTCTTGCATGAGATCTGGGAGCATTCTCTGGATTATTAGGTAGAGACCCTTATTTTCTTCCTGTACTTCCTCACATGCAAATGGAGTTTTTCTCTCTGTTCTGAGCCTCCCAATGCTGGTGGTGGATTGACACAAGCACACCTGCAGTCACCACAACTAGGATGGTGCTGGGACAGAACTGAGAACATCATAGCACTGGGTGTTTCCCAAGGCCTATTTTAATCTCTCCTTGGCTACTGCCTATGTTTGCTCAATAACCTGGGACTCTACAATCAGCAAATGACAAAGATAGCCAGGCCTGTTTCCTTCTCTTAATGGTGGCAAGTTTTCCCTGGTCCCACATGTGTCTAGAGTTTCCATCAAGAAATCTGAGACTAGAATCAAAAGCCTTAGAAGACTACCTGGCATTCTATTGTACTCCAGCTGTGCTGGCACTCAAAGCACAAGACACAGTCCCTCCCACTCTTCCATTCCCTTTCCAAAAGCAGAGGAGCCTCACCCCAGAGCTATTGCCACCACAGCCAGTAGGAAGCTCTTCCAGACTACCACTGATGTTCCTTTAAGGTCTAAGGGCTCCTCAGTCAACTGGCAGTGAATTCTGCCTGGCCTGGGACTCACCATTTATGGCAATCGGCTCCACTCTGGCTTAGGGGAGGCCCAGAGATGTTACCAAAGACTCAATTACTAAAATCAGGCACCACAAGAGCCTACTTGGTGCTCTATTCCCCTGTGGCCATGCTGGTACCTAAGGTGCAAAACAAAGTCCCCTTTACTTTTTCCTCTGCTTTGCTCAAGCAGAAGGAATTTTGTTTCATGGCCACCAGTATTGTGCTGAGTCTCAGCTGAAGCCAGAAAGTCCAAGAGCCCTCACCCAAGGCCCTCAACATAGTGTCTGGTTATCACTGAGTTATTCAGGGCCCAAGCTTCCTCGGTTAGCAGGTGATGAATACTGCAAGGACTAGGTCCTTTTCTTCAATGCAGTAGGTTCCCTTCTGGCCCAAGGTTCCCTTGCAGGTCCAGAAATGCCATGCAAGAGTTAAGTCCTGGAATCAGGGACCCTAAAAGCCCCCTTGATGCTCTGTCCTTCTGTGACTATTCTGCTACCTGAAGCCAACAAGTCTCAGAGGCTCACTCAAGGCCCCAGATGAAGTACCTTGGTATCACTGCTAGTTATTCAGGGCCTAAGGGCTCTTCAAATAGCAGGTGATGAATCCTGCCAGGATTGGGTCCTTGCCTCCAAGGCAGTGGTTTTCCTTATAGCTTTAGGTGTGTCTAGAAAAGTTGTGTGGGAGAAGGGGTCAGGTATGGGGGCCTCACTACTCTGACTGGTGCCCTATCCTGCTGTGGCTGAGCTGGTATCCAAGATGCAAGATGAAGTCCTCTCCACTCTTTCCTCTCCTGTTCTCAAGAAGAATGAATCGTCCTCTTTTGAAGCTGTGAGCTGTGCAGCCTGGGATTAGGAGACTGGTGATGCTAGCACTCCCTTAGCCACCACAGCTGCATCTTCAATTGAGGTACCCATGTCCTCTTATTAGAACTGACCAGGCAGTTGGTGTAACTGGCAGAAAGTGAGGAAAAGTAGGGTGGAGTGAGGGCCTACCCAAGAACTGCATGGGCCAAAGGGATCTTCCTCACCCAGCCAAGGGAGAGGGTAAGGAATTGTGCTACCCCGCCCTGAAACCATGATTTTCCCACAAACCTTTGCAACCCATGGATCAGGAGGTCCCCTCATGAGCCCATGCCACCTGGGCCTTGGGTCCAAAGCAAAGAGCTATGCAGACCAATGGTGGCTACTTGGGGTGGGCAGCCACTTGGGCAGGCACTGAGACACAGGAGTTTTTGTGTACTCTGTCTCTGAGAACTATAGTGAGGCAGGAGATCCATCCACTCTCACGGGAAGGGGGCTGAAGCCAGGGAGCCAAGTGGTTTCACTCAGCAGGTCCCATTTCCATGGAACTCCATAAGCTAAAACCCACTGGCTTGGAATCTCTGCCAGCCAGCACAGCAGGCTGGAGATTGCCTAAGAAGATTGAGTTCTGAGGGGGAAGAGACAGCCACCATCACTGTGGCTCCATTGTGCCATTTTCTCCTGCCACCGGTGCCAGCAAGACTGCGTGGCTTGGACTTGGAGTGGTTTCCCCACAGTGCAGCACAGCAGCTGTGACAGTTCTTGGCCAGACTGTTTCTGTAAGCGGGACCCTGACTGATTCCTTCTCACCGGGTGGGGCCTCCCTGCAGGATTTTCAGCATCCCCAGCCAGAGGTTTATAGACAGATCTCTGTTGTCTCTGAGAGGAGCCCCAAGGGGGAGAAGTGGCTGTAGTATTGTGGATAAGTGGTCTTAGCTTTTTTTTTACCTACCAGCTCTGTAGCGTCAGGGCAGCCCAGACAAGGGGTATTCCCCCCAGCACAACACCCCCACTCCACCAATGGGAAGCCAGACTACTTATTTAAGCAGGTCTCTGAACCTGTTCCTCCTGACTGGATGAGACATCCCAAGAGGGGCCTCCAGACACCTCATACAGGAGATTTCCAGCCAGCATCATGTTGGTGCCCCTCTGCGTCAGAGCTCCCAGAGGAAGGAACAGGCTGCCAACTTTGCTGTTCAGCAGCCGCCACTGGTGATACCTCCAGGTGTGGGAGGGATCCAGGCAAATAGTGGCTGGAATAGACCCCTAGCAAACAGCAGCATTTCTACAGAAGAGGGGCCTGACTGCTAAAAGGAAAACAAACCAAAAGCGACAACATCAATTAATAAAGACCCCACAAAAAACCCTATCCAAAAGTCAGCAGCCTCAAAGATCTAAGGTAGATGAACCCATAAAGATGAGAAAGAGTCAACACAAAATGCTCAAAACTCAGAAAGCTGGAGTGCCCCTTCTCCTCCAAATTATTGCAATACCTCTCCAGCAAGGGCTCAGAACTTGGCTGAGGCTGAGATGGATTAATTGACAGAAGTAGACTTCAGAAGATGGGTAATAACAAACTTCACTGAGCTAAAAGAGTATGTTCTAACCCATTGCAAAGAAGCTCAGAACCATGATAAAACATTATAGGAGTGATAACCAGAACAACCAGTTTAGAGAGAAACATAAATGACCTGATGGAGGTGAAAAACACAACATGAGAACTTCACAATGCAAACACAAGTATCGATTGCTGAATAAACCAAGGAGAAGAAAGGATATCAGAGCTTGGAGACTATGTTGCTGAAATAATACAGGCAGAGAAGATTAGAGAAAAAAGAAAGAAAAGGAACAAACAAAACCTCACATAACTATGAGATTATATAAAAAGACAACCTATGACTGATTTGGTGTACCTGAAAGAGGCAGGGAGAACCGAACCAAGTTGGAAAACATATCATCCAGGAGAACTTCCCCAACCTAGCAAGACAGGACAGCTTTCAAATTCAGGAAATCCAGAGAACCCCAGTAAGATACTTTATGAGAAGATCAACCCCAATTCATAATCACCAGATTCTCCAAGGATGAAATGAAGGAAAAAATGTGAAGGGCAACCAGAAAGAAAGGCCAGGTTACCTACAAAGGGAAGCCAATTAGACTAATAGCAGACCTTTCAGCAGAAACCCTATAATCCAGAAGAGATTAGGGGCCAATAATCAACATTCTTAAAAGAATTTTTGGCTGGGCACGGTGGCTCACGCTTGTAATCTCAGCACTTTGGGAGGCCGAGGAGGGCGAATTATGAAGTCAGGAGATCAAGACCATCCTGGCTAACTCAGTGAAACCCCGTCTCTATTAAAAATACAAAAAATTAGCCAGGCGTGGTGGTGGGCACCTGTAGCCCAAGATACTCCAGAGGCTGAGGCAGGAGAATGGCGTGAACCCAGGAGGTGCAGCTTGCAGTGAGCCAAGATTGTGCCACTGCACTCCAGCCTGGGTAATGGAGTGACACTCCGTCTCAAAAAAAAAAAAAAAAAGAAAAAAAAAAAAAAAAAAAAGAATTTTTAACCTGGAGTTTCATATCCAGTCTAACTAATCTTTATAAGTGAAGGAGAAATAAGATCTTTTTCAGACAAGCAAATGCTGAAGGACTTCATCATCACCAGGCCTGCCTTGCAAGAGCTCCTGAAGGAAGCACTAAGTATGGAAAAATAAAAATTATTACCATCCGCTACACAAACACTCTGAAGTACACAGACCAATGACACTATGAAGCAACTACATAAACAAGTCTGCAAAATAATCAGCTAGCATCATGATTACAGGATTAAATTCACATATAACAATACTAAAATGTAAATGGGCTAAATGGCAAAATTAAAAGACAAAGAACAGAAAGCTAAAGAGTGAAGATCCATCAGTATGCTGTCTTCAAGAGACCCATCTGAAACACAAAGACAGATATAGACTTAAAATAAAGGGATGGAGGAAAATTTACCAAGCAAATGGTAAACAGAAGAAAACAGAGGTTGCAATCCTAGTTTCTGACAAAACAGACTTTAAACTAACAAAGATCAAAGGAGACAAAGAAGGACACTGCATAATGGTAAAGGTGTCAATTCAACAAGAGCTGACTATCCTAAATATATATACACTCAATACAGGAGCACCCAGATTCATAAAACAGGTTTTTAGAGACCTACAAAGAGATGTATACTTCCTCACAATAGTAGTGGGAGACTTTAACACCCCATGGTCACTAGTCACTATTAGACAGATAATTGATTCAGAAAATTGATAAAGATATTCAGGACTTTAACTCAGTTCTGGATCAAGTGGACCTGATATCTACAAAACTCTTGATGCCCAAAACAACAAAATATACATTCTTCTCAGCACCACATGACACTTACTCTAAAATTGATTACATAATTGGAAGTAAATCACTCCTCAGCAAATGCAAAAAAAAAAAAAACACAAAAAGCTGAAATAATAACAACTTCTCAGGCCACAGCACAATCAAATTAGAACTCAAGATTAAAAAACTCACTCAAAGTCACACAATTACATGAAAACTGAAAACCTGCTCCTGAATGACTCCTGGGTAAATAATGAAATTAAGGCAGGAATCAAGACATTCTTTGAAACTAGTGAGAACAAAGAGACAATGTACCAGAATGTCCAGGATGCAGCAAAAGCAATGTTAAGAGGAAATTTTATATAACTAAATGCCAACATTAAAAAGCTAGAATGATCTCAAATCAACATCCTAACATCACAACTAAAAGATTTAGAGAACCAAGAGCAAACAAACCCCAAAGCTAGAATAAGATAATAATTAACCAAGCTCAGAGTGGAACTAAAAGAAATAGAGACAGGAGAAACCCTTTTAAAAAATCAGCGAATTAAGCAGCTAATTTTTTGAAAAAAATAAAACAGACTGCTAGTAGACTAATAAAAAAGAGATGAGAATTAAATAGACACAATAAAAAATGATAAAGGGGATTATTACTGACCCCACAGAAATACAAACAACTATCAGAGAATACTATAAACACCTCTATGCAAATAAACTAGAAAATCTAGAAGAAATTGATAAACTCCTGGACACATACACCCTCTCAAGACTGAACCAGGAAGAAGTTGAATCCCTGAATAGACCAATAACAAGATTGAGGCAGTAATAAATAGCCTATCAACTAAATAAAGCCCGGGACCAGGTGTATTTACAGCTTAATTCTACCAGAGGTACAAAGAAGAGCTGATACCCTTACTTCTGAAACTATTCCATGTGGGAGTTCTGTCAGGCTGGTGGGAAAAATTTGAAAGATAGTTATAAGAAATAGGCACAAACCTTGAAAGGCCGGGGGGTTTGCATAAACTCCAGTAATAGATCTGGCTGAAGGCAGCCTAATCCTTACCTTGAGTAAATAGCTTAAAATAGGTACAAAGGAATGTAAGGGAGTTTATCTAAATAGCTTGTTTACTCATGTGGTCCTAAGACAAACCTTTGATTACCTGCGGGTGCATAATTGCTCTCTATTTGTGAGATCTGCAATGTCAATTACCCTCTAATGGTGTTTACTCAAGACCTTTGTCATTTAATCTATACTGAATAAATGTGAGCTTCACTGGCTACTTGGGGCCGTGGCTGTGACTCTTTACAGCACCCTCCTTGGTGTCTGTGAGTGGCCCCGACCCTCAGCCAGACTGACAGGCAAAATATCTGTCTTGGTGTATGTTATTCATCCATCATTGGGTCAGGGTCTGCGGGACACACCCCCACAATTCCAAACAATTGAAAAGGAAGGAGTCCTCCCTAACTCATTTTATGTCATTATCTTAATACCAAAACCAGTCAGAGATACCACAACAGCAAACAACAACAACAACAAAAACTTCAGGCCAATATCCCTGATGAACATATATGCAAGAATTCTCAATAAAATACTGGCAAACCAAATCCAGCCGCACATTAAAAAGCTTATCCACCACAGTCAAGTTGGCTTCATCCCTGTGATGCAAGGCTAGTTCAACATATGCAAATCAATAAATGTAAAATGTCACATAAACAGAACTAAAGACAAAAACCACATTATTTTATCAATAGACCCAGAAAAGGACTTTGATAAAATTCAACATCTCTTCATGTTAAAAACTCTGAATAAACTAGGTATTGAAAGAACTTACCTCAAAATAATAAGACCCGTTTATGACAAACCCACAGCCAACATCACACTGAATGGGCAAAAGCTGAAAGCATTCACCTTGAAAACTGACACAAGACAAGGATGTCCTCTCTCTCCACTCCTGTTCAATGTAGTATTGGAAATTCTGGCCTGGGCAATCAGGCAAGAGAAAACATAAATGGTATTCAAACAGGAAGAGTGGAAGTCAAATTGTCTTTTCTGCAGATGACATGATCCTATTTCTAGAAAACCTCATCATCTCAGGTCAAAAGCTTCTTAAGCTAATAAGCAACTTCAGCAAAGTCTCAGGATAAAAAAAATCAATGTGCAAAAGTCACAAGCACTCCTATACACCAACAATAGACAAACAGAGAGCCAAATCATAAATGAATTCCCATTCACAATTGCTACAAAGAGAATAAAACACCTAGGAATACAGCTAACAAGGTACGTGAAGGACCTCTTCCAGGAGAACTACAAATCACTGCTCAAGGAAATCAGAGATAACACAAACAAATGGAAAACCATTCCATGCTTATGGATAGGAAGAATGAATATCATGAAAATGGCCGTAATGCCCAAAGTAATTTATAGATTTCATGCTATTCCCATTAAACTACCATTGACATTCTTCACAAAATAAGAAGAAAATATTTAAAAAATCATATGGAACCAAGAAAGAGCTTGTATATCCAAGACAATCCTAAGCAAAAAGAACAAAGCTGGAGGCATCACACTAACCAACTTCAAACTATACTACAAGGCTGCAGTGACCAAAACAGCATTAATCCTGGTACAGAAACAGACACACAGACTAATGGAACAGAATAGAGAACTCAGAAATAATACTAAACATCTACAACATTCTGACAAAAACAAGCAATAGGGGATAGGATTCCCTGTTTAATAAATGATGCTGGAAAAACTGGCTCGCCATATGCAGAAAACTGAAACTGGACCCCTTCCTAACACCTTATACAAAAATTAACTCAAGATGAATTAAATACCTAAATGTAAAACCCCAAACTATAAAAACCCCAGAAGAAAATCTAGGCAATACCATGCAGGACACAGGCATGGACAAAGATTTCATGACAAAATCTCCAAAAGCAAGTGAAACAAAAGCAATAATTGGAAAATGAGATCTAATTAAACTAAAGGACTTCTGCACAGCAAAAGAAACTATCATCAAAGCGAACAGACAACCTACAGAGTAGTAGAAAATTTTTGTAATCTATCCATGTGACAAATGTCTAATATCTAGAATGTATAACTAAGTTAAACAAATTTATAAGAAAAAAAACGCCATTAAAAAGCAGGCAAATGCCATGAACCGAGACTTCTCAAAGAAAGAAATTTGTGCGGCCAACAAACATATAAAAGAAAGCTCAACATTACTAATTAGTAGAAAAATGCAAATCAAAACCACAATGAAATACCATCTCACTCCTGTCAGAATGGTGATTATTAAAAAGTCAATAAACAACAGATGCTGGTGAGGTTGCAGAGAAATAGAAACGCTTTTACACTGTTGGTGGGAATGTAAATTAGTTCAACCATTGTGGAAGACTGTGTGGCAATTTCTCAAACATCTAAAACCAGAAATACCATTTGACTCGGCAATCCCATTACTGAGCATATACCCAAATGAATATAAATCATTCTGTAACAAATATACATGCATGCATATGTTCACTGCAGCACTATTCACAATAGAAAAAACATAGAATCAACCCAAATGCCCACCAATGATAGACTGGATAAAGAAAATGTGGTACATATACACCAAGGAATACTATGCAGCCATAAAAAGGAATGAGATCATGTCCTTTGCAGGAACATGGATGGAGCTTGAAGTCATTATAATCAGCAAACTAACACAGGGAACAGGAAACCAAATACTGCATGTTCTCACTTATAAGTGGGAGCTGCACAATGATAACACATGGACACAGGAAGGCAAACAACACACACTGAAGCCTGTTGGGAGGGGTGAGGTGGGGAGAGGGAGAGCATTAGAAAAATAGCTAATGAATGCTGGGCTTAATACCTAGGTGATTGGTTGATAGGAGCAGCAAACCACCGTGACACGTATTTACCTATGTAACAAACCTGCATATCCTGCACATGTGCCCTGGAACTTAAAATAAAAATAGAAATAAAAAAATTTCCTATATCGTATATTCAACAAGTTTTAAGACTCAAGAAAGTAACTTCTACCTCAAATCTTTCTTGAGATTATTAGAACTTGTGTAAATTTAATTGTATGGCATTTCTTCTTTCTTGGAGTATATGAGTTTGGTAGACAGGTAACAAAATCCATATTATAATGCTTAGTGGCACAGAGAGATATAAATGATTGCACATAGCATTGTATCTTAACTAAAATGAAGTGATAGCTGACTGCATATTTGGACTTTATTTCATTGTTTCAATGCATTTAAAATAATCCCCCAGTGCTAAACACAGATTCTGCAACAAAATGTTTGAGGATGAAAGTCAGAATTGAATCATTGAATCATTAAGAGATTTGATGTCAGAAAAACCTGGTTCCAGACTCACACTCCACTATTTATTAGCTGTAATCTTTTGGACAGGTTGCAGAGCTTCTCAGCTGGTATGGTCAGAGCACACAGGTGCTCTGTGAAAGGGTTACTAGAGGGCCAAGATACTCTTAGTCTTAAGGCAGCCAGAACCTCCTATCCTGTGTACTGTGGCCAAAAGTGGTATTCTTTTGTTTATTAGTCCATTTTCATACTGCTATGAAGAAATAACTAAGACTGGATAATTTATAAAGAAAAAGGAGGTTTAATGGACTCACAGTTCCACATGGCCAGGGAGGCCTCACAATCATGGTGGACAGCAAAGGAGAAGCAAAGGCACGTCTTACATGGCAGCAGGCAAGAGGGCATGGGCCAGGGAACTGCCCTTTATAAAACCATCAGATCTCATGAGACTTATTCACGATCCTGAGAACAGCATGGGAATACCCGCCCCCATGATTCAATTACCTCCCACCAGGTTTCTCCCATGACATGCGGAGATTATGAGAGCCACATTTCAAGATGAGATTTGGGTGGGGACACAGTCAAACCATATTTGGTTACTCCCATGTGCTGCTGTACAAATATTATTAATTTCTAAGTGTGTCATGTGGTTAGAAAATAAACGTTGACAAGTTGCTGATGTCTGAATCTCAAACATTTGCTGTAAAAAGATGGGATTGCTGTGAGAATTAAGTTAGATAATATTCTTTCTGGTAAATAAGAACTCAGTAGATGTAAATTATTAGTAGTAGTAAAGGGTAAAGATATGTGATAATAAATGTATAAGTCAGTTATTTAAGAATCTGAGCCTTCATGAAAAAGGAAAGCAGCATGGATAAATAATTACTTTATATAACCTTGTGCATGGTTTGATTTACTTTTATTATATATATAGATGATAAATATGTATAAGTTTGCTATATATATTTAAAGTAGTGTATATTATATATAAGTTATATATAATATATAACACATATATAAGTTGTGTGTGTGTGTGTATATATATATGTGTGTGTGTGTGTGTGTGTGTGTGTGTGTATATATATATATATATAAAACTAGTGAATTTTTCAAAAATTATCCAAGACTCCAGTGTTTCTTCTCAAGGGAATCTCCACAAAAATATTTTCTTTCTTTTTCTTGTGTTTTGTTTTTATTTTCAGTGGTGCTTCCTCCAGGTTTTGAAATTAACCAGAGCACTTCCATTATTGAGTGAACAACTGTTGGAGGAAGATGCTTTATTTTGTTCATTCTATTATTGAGTGAGGAATGGTTGGAGGAAGTTGCTTCATTTTGTTCAGTGGTAGTTGTTTACTCCTTATGCCCAGATACCCCATTTGCCATGCTTCTTCATCAGCCTGTCATGTTTTCCATTATCTCTGGTAGAGTATTTGACAATTTTCTGGGATTCATTTTGTTGTCAGTCAGAACATATTTACTTAGTTGTAAGCCTGCCACCAGCCTTCGCTTCCTAACTTTTATCTCAATAATGGCATTGCAAGAGCTTGTAGCAAGTGGTATGCCTTCCTTCCATACTAAACAGATATCCTACTTACAGCTAAGTCTATCTGGTAGCTGCCATGAAATTTTTTCCATTGTGTAGTTGAAAACTAGACTGAAGGGGATATACCTGATTTTAGCCAAAAGAAAGAGACAATTTCATCCTCATGCCTGAAATCTGAAATTTGAAGAAATTTTCCTATTTAAGATATTCTATACCAAAACAAATTTTGCCTTTTAAAAAATATTTACCTCCTAATTTGTATCAGGCACTATGCCACAGACAAGAGAGACTAAGAGTAGAATTCTACATGTTCCTGAAATCTAGAATCTTACAATTTAACCTTCACCAGAATCATCTGAAAAACTTGTAAAAATAGGATTCTAAGTGCTCTTTACAGCAGGTCTGGGTTGTGGGCTTTCGAATCTGCAAGTTTTACAAGGATCTCAGATAATTGTGTTATTTCTGACCTTTGAGAAACACTGCCTGATAGGCGACACAGAGAGATAAAGCAAGAAGAATAGCTTGGTGCTAGGAATGTGATTACGGTGTTCATTGGACAGTCAAAAGGTACCTTTACTGGAGACCTGGGTCACTGTCATGGTACAATGTGGGGATTAATTTGCATAGGCAAATTTAGGTCAGAATATACAAGACTTTGAACATCAGCTTCAGGAGTTTGAATTTATTCCAGATGTCACAGCATTTGAGCTACAGTAACTAGGTCACTGAAAACCACTGGGTGATTTGAATAAAAGGTGATTTATCAATTTTTTTAGGATAGTTGCTCTGGCAACAAAACCTAAGATGAATTGGAGCAAAAACAACTAGAGAGTTTCTATAGCTAGGAGGCATCTGTTGTTAATTGTGCAGGTATGAGATGGTAAGTATTCAGACTAGAGTCGTAGCAGTGGAAAAATATAAATGGCGTACAGTAGAAGGATTGCCAAGAAACCATAGGGGTGCAGAGGCTGAGGGTAAAAAAAAAATAGAAGGGCTTTAAGATTTGGTAGTTAATAATGAAAGATTGAAAATTCTGCTGACTGATACAGGAAGATGATAAAGAAGGAATGATTTCCTGGGAAGATTGAGAGTGTAAGTTTGGACACACTTGATCTGAACTGAGAAGATAAATATTCAAGTAGAAATTTTATTCTAACAATTGGAGATACTGACTACAAGCTAAGAAACCCAATATAGACCCCACATGTTCTAACAATGGTGAAATGACCCCAAACTCTATTTTCTGCTTTAGGTTTCATAATAAAAATTTATTAAAACACCACAAATGATCTTTTTTTGGCTATATCTAGAATAACATTTATAAGAGATAGATAATGATAATATGGTAACAAATACCATAAAGATAGCAAAGATTAGGTGTCCAAGAAGAAAATAGGTAGAGTCAGAGGGCAGTAAACAACCTAACCAGCCAAAAAAACAAACAAACAAACAAACAAAAACAAAAAAAAAAAACCACTGCATGCATCATCATACACTTTGATCAAACTCACAATGTGTTTACTCTCCTTATCAAGGGTCATTTGAAACTTATGATAAATCTTATTTGAGAATTGTATGACCAATACTAAATCAGAATCAACTAAATTTAATTTCTCTTTCGGCCAATTTTATCTCCATAGGTATAACATCCTCAGGAGGGTATAAATCAAATGCAAAGAACGCCTGGTCCTCAATGTCTAAATTGTCATAGGACTTGTTAACCGTGTACAATTTTATTTTCTCCACCACTTTTGTATTGCACTGTATACTGGTATTTGGAAGAGAAAAGGAGGTTTTGTCGTAGAAGTTGTATAATTCTATAGTGTCATTTTGTTGTCCCTCCCAACAGAAATGGCCCTTCCCCATATACCAGATGCTATGTCCCATGGGGGTGGATATTAGAGGCCAAATTTGGGAAAAATCAGGGTTCCAAGTGGCTTGAGGGCATAGCAATTCTCCTTTTCTCTTTTCACAATCTGAAAGGGATAAGGGATGCCTTGTGTTATTATCAGCTAAAATAGCCCACCTATTTCCCAGGGGAAGTATTCTTGTATTGTTTACAATAGTCCCAATGCCTGCCAGTTGAACTGAATGACAGAGTACAATTGAGCCTCATTTAACTTCGCGGTGCCTGGGCTCTGAGAATACAATGTTTAAGGTCACATTTACCATCCAAAAATCTTCATAAGTTTTGGGAACCATATATTTTTCCACAGGTGTTTGGATTGTGCCTCAGTACTGAGGATTGTAGGCCATTGCTTCATAGCCACCTCAGATTCCATTTGTAATAAAATAGACATGAGCCCCTGTTGGGTAAGAGTGCATGCTTGTTCCCATCTTTGGGTTTGGGAGTATGTTTTCATGGTTTTTCTGGTTTATTCTATCCATTTGATGAGTGCTGCATTATCTTTGAAAGCAACTTCCCATCCTTTTTCCTCTTCCTGGAATAGCATTCCTTCCATGTGGCCTATTTTTTATAGGGACTTTTTCTCTAAAGAATGTCTCCCTTCATTAGTCATGAACTCAGCTTGCCCCAGTATGCCTAGCCTAGCTCCAGTTCCTGCAGGGAGGCTGCGCTTTAGTTTTTTGGGTGGCCAATTTTGGTGTATCCACTGGGAATGCTGTTGCCATTGTATACTGATGGCATTTATACAATTTGGAAAAATGGAGTCAATCCAGAACTGCTGGGCATCCCAAACAATCGTTAGGTGAGTGGAGGTTACACCTAAGTATACCCTTGTCTGGGTATTCCATAAGGCTTCCCAGAGGCACCCTGGTCTTAGGGTGGAATTTGTGCTCTCAGGGCCCTCTGTCCACCAGTTGACTCCTATCAATATTTATTTAAGGGCAGTGTCAGTGTGGTTGGTGCTGGATAGGGGGATCCAGCCGCAAGCACAGGGCTGGTGGTTATTTGGGCAGGCCATGCTATGGCAGTTTACACAAGAGGCAGCTAGGTGTTTCCCATTGTAACCAAGCAGTTGTCTCAACTGATTATCCTCAATATCTATTGCTATGCAATGTTTTACCTGGTTAGACCCTCTCAGCCATCGTCCTGAGGCATTGTTAGGCAAGTATTCCTGCAGGGAGTCATATTTGGTTGAAACCCTATAATAGAGGTACCCTAAAAAGGGGGGACCTCGGAGAATGCTTAGAATGTTGCTGTTCCATATAAGAGTCTTCATTTCATCCTGGTCTATATCATACCAAATGATGTGGGCTCAGTCTGCAGGAAGATTGCTGAGGTGTGCAGGGGACCAGGAGAAATTTTCAGGTTTGAAAAGAGAAGGAGTGTGCAGTAGGCAGACAGAGGAGATTGTGGGAATAAGAATGAACAAGTAAAACATTTGCCTGGAATGAGAATGAACAAGTAAAACATTTTCCTGGCTTTAGCAAGGGAATGTATGGCCACACCCATTTAGAAAGTTATACCAAGGAAGATTGCATAGATTCCAAACAGCTTCTTAGGGGTCTCAGTTAAAACATTCAGGGATTTAGCAATATCCTATAGCAATGAAAGTAAGAATGAGGGTTATTTTAGGGTTCATGAGGATTGGCCTGATCCGGTGTCTCTGCAAGTATGCCGGCTTTCGTTGTATCCCTAGAGACCGACTTAGCCTCCACTGTTCTGTTCATTTACAGGCTTGTGTCAGAGACCGGTTCAGAAGTCCTTGGGCGGTCAGGAATGTGGCTGGGTGCTCGTTTTAGGTGTGAAATGTGACTCCAAAAAGCGATTCCCTTTAACTTTGCAGTGCAAGAGTTGGTTAAGAGCACCTGATAAGGTCCTTTCCAGTGGGGTTGTAGGGAGTCCTCCAGTTGGTGTCTTTTCCAACATACAAAGTCACCTGTCTGTAATCCGTGGTCTTTGGGGTGATCAGCCCCACCGGGAGCTAACTGTGGAAAGATCCTGTTACCAGCTTTGTATTATTTCTTAAGGTTTTGAGGAGCCCTTGACAATAGTGCCATATTTGCCCTTTGAGTAAGGCCGGTTTGTATAAGTCCTCAACCAGCTTCCTAGGTCTCCCTGTTATGATATCACAGGGCAATAAACAGTGTTTTCCAAAAGGAGTGGATCTAAGATTAAGCAAGACCAGTGGGAGGGCTTTTGGCCAAGGGAGGTTAAAAACCTCTGTCAACTTACCTAATTGAGTTTTTATTGTGCCATTTGTCCATTCCACCAACCTGGAGGATTGGGAATGGTAGGCACAGTGAAAATGTTGTATTATGGGCCAGATTTTGCAAATGGATTGAACAACTTGTCCAGTAAAATGAGTCCCACGATCACTGTGCAGTTCGGAAGGAATTCCCCAAACTGGAACAATTCTCTCTAACAAAATTTTCCCTACTGTTAAGGCGGTAGCCCTCTGACAAGGAAATGCTTCTACTCAATGAGAAAACATACAAACTAAGACCAGCACATATTTGAAAATTTGAGATGGAGGCATCTGGATAAAACCCAACTGCCGTACTTCAAAAGGTCCTATTGGCAAAGGAAAATGACCTTGGGAGCCATGTAAGGGCTTGCCGGGGTTATGTTCTGGGCATATAGTGTATTGAGAGTGTATACCTTTGGGGCTACCATGAGGGATAATTTCCAAAAGTATTGTTTTCCCCATGATACCATTTTTTTCAGGAGGCTGATGAGTCTTTTCATGAATAAACTGAAGGAAAGGCAATTGTGCACCTATGGGAACTATGACTTTTCTTGTTGTTGTTGTTAGGCCCTGGCTATAATTCCTTGCTTGGGTCAAACATTCCTCCCTTCTGCTGCCAGGTTTGTTTCTCTTGAGGGGTACAGGCTTGTCGATACTGTAAAAGAACGTTAGTGAGGGTATTTGTAGGATGAAAGGTACATTCCCATGCAGGACAGGCCACCTTTCCTAGGGCAGCATTCTTTGCTGCAGCATCAGCTAGATTATTTCCTTTTGCTTCTTCGGTGTTATCTTTTGAGTGCCCAGGAACTTTTATGATTACAAATTGCTTTGGCATCTGAATTGCTTCTAGTAACTCCTAGGCTTGGTGCTAATTTTGTATGGCCTGTCCGGATGAGGTAAGAAATCCTCTCTGTTTCCATAGAATGTCAAAATCATGGGCTACTCTGAAAGCATGTTGGGTATCAGTATATATATTTGCCACTTTTCCTTTGGCTAATTTACAAGCTCTAGTTAATGCTATTATCTCTGCCATCTGGGATGACTGGACTCCTTGGAGTTGGGTGCTTTCGATTATGTTTGTTATGGAAGTGATGGCATATCCTGCCTGGTAATGCCCCTGGTTGTCCCTTAAATAAGAACCATCCATGAACCAAATTAATTCAGCGTTCTTAATGGGAGTTTTCTGTAAATCTTCCCTAGGGGAGAGTAAGATATTAGTTAGTAGATTGAAGTTGTTTTCCTCTTCCTCTTGTTGTTCACCTGGAAGGGGGAGCAGGGGAGCAGGGTTAAGAGTGTTACAGTGCTTCAAAGTGATGTTGGGAGCAGAAAGCAGGGGTACCTCATAAGAGGCAAGGTGCCTAACAGAATAGTGTTGAGTGTGGTGAGAGCTTAGAAGAGATTTCACAGAGTAGGGGACCCTACTGTGTGGTCAGAGGGGACCCTAGGACAAATTCTTCGACGTTTTTGCATAAGGTGGCTGAAGCTGATACCACCCTCATACAAGGAGGGTGCCCCGTTGCTGGATCTAACTGTTGACTAAAATAACTAATTGGTCTGTGATTGTCACCATGTTTTTGAGTTAATACTCCTACAGCATTCATGTTTATTTCATGTACAGAGAGGGAAAAGGGAAGACTATAATTGGGGTGGCCTAGAGCAGGTGCTTGTGTGAGAGCCTGTTTTAGACCTTCTATGTGTTATTTTTCTCCCTCCTCCCAGTGGATTGGGTTTGGCTGGGTCTGTTTTAGTTTTTTACATAGGGGTTGGACCATTAAGGAGTAGTTTCGAATCCAGTTCCTGCAACAGCCTGTTAACCCTAAAAATCCTTTTAATTGCCTTTCAGTTTGGGGCAGGGGAAAGGTCATAACAGCAGAGATTCTCTCAGGGTTTATCAGTAGCCCCCTTGGGGAAATCATATGTTCCAAATATTTAACTTGGGGCAGGCAAAATTGTAATTTCTCATTTGATACTTTTCGTCCCTTCAAAGCAAGCTGTTGTAATAGGTGGACAGTATCTTCTCTGCATTTTCCCAGGGAGGATGAACACAACACTAAATCATCCGTATACTGAGTGTAGATTCATTTGGAAATTCAGTGTCATCTAAATCTGCCTTTAGTATTTGAGAAAAATAAGTAGGACTTTCAGAGTAGCCCTGGGGTAAGACTGTCCATGTGTATTGGTAATTTTCACAAGTGAAAGCAAAAAGATACTGGCTAATTTGCTCTATAGGTATGCTGAAAAATGCACTACATAAATCAATAACAGAGAAGTGGCTGGCAGTGATAGGAATTTTGGACAGTAAGGTGTGGGAGTTAGGAACAACAGGGTGTCTAGAAATTATTATTTTATTTATAGCTCTTAGGTCTTAAACAAATCTCCAGCCTTTACCATTTGGCTTTTAACTGGGAGGATTGGTGTATTGCAAGGGCTGGTGTGGGGTATTATGAATCCTTTGTCTAAATAGTCCTGAATGATTGGTTTGATTTCTAGTAAGGCTTCAGGTCTAAGGGGATATTGCCTTACATTTGACAGGGGTTTGGATTTATTTATGCTTATCTCTACAGGGACTGCTGACTTAATTCTTTCAGTATCTGTGGAAGAGCTTGCCCATAAGGAGTCTGGCACCTTAGATAGAGAAAGGCTCTAATTTTTCCTGTCCAGAATCTTGATTAACTTTCACAAGCATAATATTACATGTGGGCTTTTGTAAGTCTTCTATGTCTCCCAAGTTGAGAATCATTTCTCCCTTCTGTGAAAATGAGATGTGAGCATTATGGGCCTCTAGGAAATCCCGTCCCAGCAGGTGTATGGGGACTCTATCTACTATTAAAAAAAGTGATGCCCCACTAGTTCTCCTAATGGACATTGAAGGGGATTTGATTTAAAGCCTTTAATAGGAGAGTTTGAAACCCCTAGCATTTGGACTTTTTCTTTACTCCGAGGAAAGTGTTCTTAATCAAGGTAGGGTTGAGGGCTTACAGTGTAGCGCCAGTGTTGACGAGGACTTTGGTATTTTCTCCATTTATGGATATTTCTGCTTCTCTTAAATCATTAGTTAGAAGTGGAGGGAAAACCCTCTCTATGCCCTCAGAGCATCCCTATTCTGATTTTTGAGTTGTTCTAGTGCCTTCCTCTGGGGCCCTTTGCCCAATTTGTGCAATCACCCATTTAAGTTTTTTGTATTATTTCTTTAAATGCCCTTTCTTTTTGCAATGGTGGCAAGTTGCTTTCTTTTGGGGTTGCTTAGATCTCTGGGAAACATGGGACCCTTGCAAACTCCCAACTTGGTTACTAAGTTGTTTTAGTTGTAAACTCATAATTTTAGAGACTCCGTCCTTTTCTTTCTTAATGATTGTGACAATTGGTCAGCTAGGGTGACTAGGTGGCTAGTGGGGCAAGGAACCCCAAGCCACATTATTCCTCTTTATTAGGGTTGCTAACTCCTTATCTAAACCTTGAATAAACTCAGAATTTAGTAAGGTGTCACTTCTAATGTGCTCAAAGTTTTCATGAGGTATTCCTGAAAACTGTTTGAATGTCTTTTCAAACCTGATATAAAAGTCAGGTATGGTTTCATTTGGGCGTATTTTACATTGTTGCACCTTTGCCCAATCTATAACCTTGGGGAATATCTGTGGTATAGTTTCACAGAGGTGATTGCAAAGCTCTCTGTATTTCTCTCTACCAGTTGCATCTATTCTGTCAAAATCTTCTAAAGACTGTTTCCAATCTGCTACCCTAAACCATTCTTCAGCTTTGTTTTTGGGGACCAGTAACTCAATCAGCTGATATAGGTCAGAGAACCCTGGATAACATGTCTTAAGCATTAATTGGAACTCCTTAGGAAACCCAAAGAGATCTTCAGTTGGATTGGCGAATCCAGATACCAGGGCCTTAAATTCTGATTTGGTCCAGGGGGTATGTATCATGTTAGAATCTTCTCTGTCTGTGGGTTTTACTCTAAAAAGAGCAACTACTATATTATTTTCTCCAGCTATTTCTGGTCCCCCTGTGTCTTGAGGGGGTAGGGAAAGAAAGAGGAAAAATGAAATTGTCCAGACAAGGAAGTTCAGAGAGCAGAGGGTCAGGAGAAGCAGAGGGGAGACAGTTTCTGGAGCCTTCCTGATTTCAGAAGTGGCTTCTACTAATTTCTTTAAATCTGAGAGAGTTTCAAACATTTTTTTATTAACTTCCTGGAGGAAGGCAACCTTATTGTTCCCTCTTTTTGATGATTCTAGGTGCCAGCTAAAGTATGACTCCCATTCATTTTCTTTGATTTGGGAGCCTAATTTTTCCAATCTAGCATGCAAGAAAACCAATTTAGGGATATCAAAAGTTCCCCATTTTAGAAACCTCAGACCTAGGTAATCTTTAGTAACATCTTCGCATTTACATAAATACTTGCAAGTAATAGTGCCATAATTATTAAACATAAACTGAGCTTGGGTGCCCATAGAGGGCTGCTCACCTTGACTTTCCTCTTTTTTGGAGGGTTTATTTCCCATCCAATCTCTCTCTCTCTTTTTTTGGGGGGGTAGGGTGGGGGGAACTGACCTGTGGCCTAGGGTTTTTGTGTTGTGGATCAATATGTGCTGCTTGTGGGAAGGACTCCACAGTGGGTCACCACTGAGTCGTTTCTACCCTCTTACGTGTCTCAGTTTCTCTCTTCAGAGCTCTATTACCTCTGAGAGGGCTCAAAACACCGGGTGATCAGCCCTTATATGTGTTTCCTGGATAAGCCTTTTTAAATCAATATTTGTTGAGGTGTTTCCCATAGGGCCGCTGCACGTCACGGGGGATCAACCCCCTAGAGACTCCACGAGGCCCCTGGTCACCCAAGGGCGCCTTTCAGCTGGAAGGAGAAAAATGCCCCTTCTCTTTGGAGGTGAGGAACTCAGTCTCTCATTTACTTATGAAAAATAACAGTTCAGTTCCTCAGGCAAAATGCATACAGACAACCCAATTGAGATTAATTCTGATAGAAAAAAATAGAGAAAGACCCTTCTGAATGCACCTCTGAAACTAAAATTAAGATTTCAACCAAATTCCTGGGAGAAAAGAGAGAGAAAATAAAAACCAGCTCAGAATAAATCAAGTACCATCAACCAAAATGGAAGGTCCAGGGCTCAGGAGGACTTACCAGTTCCACTAGAGGAGAAGCTCAGACTCGGTGAGTCTTCAGTGGGCCCCTGCTGGTACCTTAGCTCCAGTTTTGGGCAACTTCTTAGGGGTTCTGAGTCTTCTCTGAGGCTCCACATGTTTGGGTGCCAGATTATTGTCGACAAAAAGAGTCAAACTCTGTAAAATATTTGAAGAGATTTAATGTGAGACAACTATGAGTTACAATTGCCCGTGACACAGCCCTCAGGAGGTCCTGAGAACACGTGCTCCAGGTGGTTGGGGTACAGCTTGGTTTTATATGTATTAGGAAGGCATGAGACATCAATCAAATACATTTAAGAAATACATTGGTTTGGTTCAGAAAGGCGGGACAACTTAAAGCGGGGCTTCTAGGCTATAGATAATTTCAACATTTTCTTGTGGACAGTTGGTTGAGTTTATCTGAAGACCTGGGATTAATGGAAAGGAATGTTCAGGTTAAAATAAAAGATTGGGGGGACCAAGTTTTATTGTGCAGAGAAATCCCTCAGATAGCAGACTTCAGAGGGAGAGCAGATTGTAAAATGTTTCTTATCAAACCTAAAAGAGTGCCTGGCTCTTTGTTGATTATCTCCTGGATTTGTAAAGAAAGGAAGGAAGACAAAGGGGGAAGGAGAGTCTCTGTAGAATGTGGATTTTTCCCATAAAAGACTTTGCAGGGCAATTTCAAGGTATGGCAAAGAAATATATTTTGGGGTTAAATATGTTTTCCTTGTCTCCTAATGTTATGCCAGAGTTAGACTGAAAAGTAAGTCACAATTTATAGGGTCAAATAAAACCCATCTGATGAGAGTTGATGGTTTGTAGGGCATGACTCTCTAGACTCCTTGGCTAGGAATTTGGGCAACATAAAATATCAGAGCTTAGTCCTCAGTACAATATGAAAGGACCATGTAGGGAGTGAATTTCAAGCTTCAAATACCAAAGGCAAATGAAATTTGGCTTGGCTATTGATAAGCTATGACATCATTTTCTACCATGCTGCGAAGGTGTCCAAGGTGATACTGGAAAACCCCCAGAGGCTGTTATTCCACTGATTGTATATTTTTTAATGTTTTCTGGATGGTATTTGGGTAGATTTCTAATAGTCTTTTTAGACTTCACTACAATACTTTGAATAATTATTTAATTGTATACTGGCATAAATTAGCTAAATCCTAACAAAATATTGCTTTAAAGATGACGCAATAATAACAAGTGTTGCATTTATTCTTTGAAGCATGGGCAGAAATGGATAGCTAAAATATTTAGAATTTGTTGACTATAAAATTGCATTGAAAATATATGAAAAGTGATTCACTTCCTTTGTAGCCTATATGCAAAACATTCATTGCTTTTAAAAGCCCCTGAAAATGAGACCACCTGCCTCTGCCATAGTGGGTTAGTAACTAAAAAAGCAGCCCCTGTTGGCTGGCTACAAGTTTCAGTCTCTTCCTGCTGTCAACTTCTCATTTAGTTGGAGGTCATTTATACATTTCTGCAATCCCAGGATTACCCA
Source organism: Homo sapiens (assembly GCF_000001405.40). Taxonomy (NCBI): domain Eukaryota; kingdom Metazoa; phylum Chordata; class Mammalia; order Primates; family Hominidae; genus Homo; species Homo sapiens. The sequence continues at coordinate 144,738,129 of NC_000023.11, read as the reverse complement.
ATTTTTTTTCTTCTCAGAAGAAACATGATACAAAAATACAACTAGTAGTCTAACCTTGTGTTTTTTCATTTCTCCTTCGAGCAACATAGCTAGGGATAGCTTGGGGACCTAGATTGTATGAAAATAAAGCAGATGTGAGTAACCTATTGGCTACTCCCTTTCTCTTTGTGTCAACCAGTGCTATTATTGGGAGAGACTGGTCAGAGAAAACCTGGTAGCAAAGAGAGGGATGCAAAACTTTTTGCTTCTGGTTGAGCCCACCTACAACAGAAGGGTGAGTTACTGATCAGACCTCTGTTAAATATTTTTTTTAAAAAAACAAACTTGGTGTAAATTCTCACACTTCTGCAGGCTTGTGTTATTTATTTCTTATCTGGTATTCAGAGAAATATATTGCTGCTTGTCATACTCTTCAGTGTAATTCTAAAATAAGGCCTCACATTTGACAAGAATGCCACTATGATTTTTTTTTCTGTTTTACCAATAATAATGGGCTCTTTTGATGTTTTTGTGAAAGAAAAAAAATATGTGCCATAAAAAGATATCTATACAGAGAGCATCAATTTTTGTCTGTCTTGTTAACTGATAAGCTCACAGTAACTGACACTTAATAGGAGCTCAGAATGACTTAATGAATGAAAACTTACATGTTCTAAAATATAAATAACATAGAAATTCAGGCAGAAATGAACACTCACCTTAATAATACTCTTGAAAAGAGACCAAATGCAAATTTCAGCATTGTTCACAGAAACCAATCATGCCACATAGTGTAAGTTCTTTGGTGTTTACAAACTAATAATAGCTCTTCATATCCTAAAGATTATCCTTTCAGAAAATTGATCATTATTATAATTTCAACAGCTTCTAGTGGAGATTCAGGTTTGATTCTTTTATTCTTAATAACATGTAATTGAATCTTCAGTCATGAAATTTACATTTTGAATGTATCAGTATTCTCTTATAGTAAGCAAATGTTGGAGCATTGGGAATTCTCTGGAGAATCAAAACATTGTGATCAGGAACAGTCCACTGAAAGATATGCTCTTTTTTTCAGGTTGAAATTTCCTTAAACATTTTTTATTCCAATAGCTTTTGGGGTACAAGTTTTATTATTATTATTATTATTATTATTATTATTATTATTATTATTATTTGAGACGGAGTCTCTCTCTGTTGCCCAGGCTGGAGTGCAGTGGTGAGATCTTGGCTCACTGCAAGCTCCGCCTCCTGGGTTCATGCCAGTCTCCTGCCTCAGCCTCCTCAGTAGCTGGGACTACAGGCACCTGCCACCATGCCCGGCTAATTTTTTTGTATTTTTAGTAGAGAAGGGGGTTTCACCGTGTTAGCCAGGATGGTCTTGATCTCCTGACCTCATGATCCGCCCACCTCGGCCTCCCAAAGTGCTGGGATTACAGGCGTGAGCCACTGCACCTGGCCACAAATGTTTTTTTTTTTTTTTTTTTTAATTACATAGATGAATCGTATAGTGGTGAATTCTGAGGTTTTAGTGCACCAGTTACCAGAGTATTGTACATTGTACCCAACATGTAGTTTTTTATCCTTCAGCCAACTACAAACCTCTCCCTTCTGAGTCTTCAGTGTTTACTATTTCACTCTGTATGCCTTTGCATACCCATAGCTTAGTCCCCACTTATAAGTGAGAACATAAAGTATTTGGTTTTCCATTCCTGAGTTATTATAATACTTCACTTAGAATAATGGCCTCCAGCTCTATCCAAGTTGCTGCAAAAGACATTGTTTCACATTTTTTATGGGTAAGTAGTATTCAGTGGTGTATATATACCATATTTTCTTTATCCACTCATTGGTCAGGGGGCACTTAGGTTGATTCCATATCTTTGCAACTGTGAATTGTGCTGCAATAATCACCCATGTGCAGGTGTCTTTGTAATATGATAACTTTGTTTCCTTTTGGTACATACCCAGTAGTGAGACTGTTGGATTGAATGGTAGATTAAATTTTTGTACGTTAAGAAATCTCAATATTGTTTTCCATAGAGGTTGGACTACTTTAGATTTCTACTGGCAGTGTATAAACATTCCATTTTTACCACATCCATACCAACATCTATTGTTTTATTGACCTTTTAATAATGGCCATTCTGGCAGGGGGTTAGGTGGTATCTTACTGTAGTTTTAATTTGCATTCTCCTGATGATTACTGATGTTGAACGTTTTTTTTTTTTTCATTTGTTTGTTGGCCATTTATATATCTTCTTTTGAGAAATGTCTATTTGTGGAATTCACCCACTTTTTCATAGGATTTTTTTTCTTGCTGATTTGAGTTCCTCCTAGATTGTGAATATTAGTTCATTGTCACAGGCATAGTGGTATGGTTTGTCTCTATGTCCCCACCTAAATCTCATGTCAAATTGTAATCCCCACATGTCAGGGGAGCGTCTTGGTGGGAGGTGATTGGATCATGGGGGTGGATTTCCTCCATGATGTTCTTATAATAGTGAGTTCTCATGAGAACTGATGCTATAAAAGTGTGACGCTTCGCCCCTTGCTCTCTGTCTCCTACTGCCATGTAAAATGTGCCTTGCTTTCCTTCTACCTTCCACCATGATTATAAATTTCCTGAGGCCTCCCCAATCATGCAGAACTGTGACTCAATTAAACAACTTTTCTTTATTAGTTACCCAGTCTCAGATAGTTCTTTATAGCAGTGTGAAAATGGCCTAATACAGAAAGTTGGTACTGGGAGTAGGGCACTCTTATAAAGATACCTGAAAATGTGGAAGCAACTTTAGAACTGGGTAATGGGAAGAGGTTGAAGCAGTTTGGAGGGCTCACAAGAAGACAGGAAGATGTGAGAACGTTTGGAACTTCATAGAGACTTGTTGATGGTTTTGAACAAAATGCTGACAGCGATATGGACAACGAAATCCAGGCTGAGGTGGTCTCAATGGAGATGAGGAACTTACTGGGAACTGGAATTAAGGCCACTGATATGGTTTGGCTCTGTGTCCCCACTCAAATCTTACCATGAATTGTAATCCCCACGATCCCCCACGTGTCAACGGCAGGACCAGGTGAAGATAATTGGATAATGGGTGTGGCTTTTCCCATGTTGTTCTTGTGATAATGACTGAGTCTCAGGAGATCTGATGGTTTTATAAGCAGCTGTTATTTCCCCTATTTTGCACTCACTCTGTCTTGCCACCATGTAAAGAAGATGCCTGCTTCTTTTTTTTTTTTTTTTTTTTTTTTGACAGAGTTTTGCTCTTATTGACCAGGCAGGAGTGCAATGGCATGATCTCCGCTCACTGCAACCTCTGCCTCCCAGGTTCAAGTGATTCTTCTGCCTCAGCCACCCAAGTAGCAGCAATTACAGTCATGCACCACCACACCTGGCTAATTTTGTATTTTTTAGTAGAGATGGGGTTTCTCCATGTTTGTCAGGCTGGTCTGAAACTCCCAACCTCAGGGTGATCTGCCCACCTTTGCCTCCCAAAGTGCTGGGATTACAGGTGTGAGACACCACACCCGGCAAGATGCCTGCTTCTTTTTTGCCTTCTGCCATGATTGTAAGTTTCCTGAGGCCTCCCCAGCAATACAGGACTGTGAGTCAATTAAACCTTTTTCTTTTATAAATTATACAGTCTCCAGCAGTTCCTTATAGCAGCATGAGAACTGACTAATACACTGAATTGGCACTGAGGTAGTGGGGTGCTGCTATAAAGATACCTGAAAATGTGACAGTAACTTTGGATTTGGGTAACAGTCAGGCTGGAAGAGTTTGGAGGATTCTGAAATAGACAGGAAGAACTGGGAAAGTTTGGAACTTCCTAGCGACTTGTTAGATCACTGACTGAAATGCTGATGGTGATACCGACAATGAAGTTGAAGTCCAGGCTGAGGTGGTCTCAGATGAAGATGAGGAACTTGCTTAGGGCTGGAATAAAGGTGATTCTTGCTATGATTAAGCAAAGAGACTGGTGGCATTTTGCTCCTGACCTAAAGATCTGTGGAACTTTTAACTTGAGAGCAATGACCTGTAATTGAAATTTATGTTTAAAAGGGAAGCGTAGCAAAAAGTTTGGAAAATTTGCAGTCTGACCATGTGATAGAAAAGAAAAACTCATTTTCTGAGGCGAAATTTCAGCCAGATGCAGAAAGTTGCAAGGAGCTGATTGCTAATTACCAAGTAAATGGGGAAAATTGTCTCCAGGGTAGGTTAGAGGTCTTCATGGCAGCCCCTCCCATCACAGGCTCAGAGGCCTAGGAGGAAAAAATAGTTTCAGGTACCAGGCCCAGAGCCCTGCTGCTGCTCTGTGCAGCCTCGAGACTTGGATCACAGCCCTGCATCACAGGCAAGGCTAAAAGGGGCCAATATACAGCTCAGGCCATTGCTTCAGAGGATACAAGCCCCAAGCCTTGGTGGCTTACACATGGTGTTTTGCCTGCAGGTGAGCCGAAGTCAAGAATTGAAGCTTGAGAACCTCTGCGTAGATTTCAGAAGATGTATAGAAACACCAGAATGTTCAGGCAGAAGTTTGCTGCAGGGATAGAGCCCTCATGGAGAACCTCTGCCAGAGCAGAGTGGAAAGAAAATGTGGGGTTGGAGGCCCTCCACAGAGCTCCTCCTAGGGCACTGTCTAGTGGAGTTGTGAGAAGAGGGCCACTATCCTCCAGAGTTCAGAATGGTAGATCCACTGACAGCTTACACCATGCACCCAGAAAAATCACAGACACTCAACACTAGCCCGTGAAAACAGCTGGGAGGGGGGCTGTACTCTGGAAAGCCAGCCCCAGTGACGGAGCTACCCAAGGCTATGGGGGCCCACCTCTTGCACCAGTGTGACCTGTATGTGTGACATGGAGTTAAAGAAGGTCATTTTGGAACTTTAAGGTTTAATTTTCGTCCCACGGGATTTCAGACTTGCATAGGGCCTGTAGCCCCTTTGTTTGGGCAAATATCTCCCATTTGCAATAGGTGTATTTATCCAATGCCTGTATACTAATTGTATCTATGAAGTAACTAAGTGGCTTTGGATTTTATAGGTTCATAGGCGGATGGGTCATGCCTTGTCTCAGATGAGACTTTGGACTTAAGACTTTTGGGTTAATGCTGAAATGAGTTAATAATTTGGGAGATTGTTGGAAGAGAATGATTATGTTTTGAAACGTAAGGACATGAGATTTGAAACTGGCCAGGAGTGGAATAATATGGTTTGGCTCTGTGTCTGCACTGAAATCTCACCCTGAATTGTAATCGCCGTAATTCCCATGTGGGAATTCCCAAAGGGTGGGGCCAGGTGGAAGTAACTGGATCTTGGGGTCAGTTTCCTCCATGCTGTTTTTGTGATGATGAGTCAGTCTCATGATATCTGATGGTTTTACAAGCATCTGGCATTTCCTCTGCTTGCACTCACTGCATCCTGCCACCTTGTGAAGGAGGTGCCTGCTTCTCCTTTGCCTTCTGCCGTGATGGTAAGTTTCCCCAGGCCTCCCCAGCTATGTGGAACTGAGTCAATTAAACTTCTTTATAAATTACCAAGTCTCAGGTATCTTTTCATAGCAGTGTGAGAACAAACTAATACAGTCACTCTGGCTATGCTTTAGTAACAGGACTGGTGGTATTTTGTCCCTGCCCTAGAGATCTGTGAAACTTTGAACTTGAGAGAGATGATTTAGGATATCTGGCAGAAGAAATTTCTAAGCAGCAAAACATTCAAAAAATAACCTGGCTGCTTCTAACAGTATAATCTCATACGCATTCATAAAGAGATAATCTGAAATTGAAAGTTATGTTTAAAAGGGAAGCAGAGCATAAAAATTTGGAATATTTGCAACATTACCATGTGGTAGAAAATAAAAGCCCATTTTCCGAGCAGATATTCAAGCTGGCTACAGAAATTTGCATAATTAAAGAGAAGCTGACTGTTAATAGCCTGAGACAATGGGGAAAATGTCTTCAGGACATGTCATAGACCTTGTGGCAGCCCCAAGCCTTGGTAGCTTACATGTGGTGTTGGGCCTGTGGCTGTGCAGAAGGTACAAACTGAGCTTTGGGAACCTCTGCCTAGATTTCAGAGGATGTATGAAAGCAAATGGATATCCAGGTAGTCTGCTGCAAGGGTGGAGCCCTCATGGAGAACCTCCACTATGGCAGTGCAGAGGAAAAATGTGGGCTTGGAGCTCCCACACATATTTGCCCCTGGGGCATTGACTAGTGAAGCTGTGAGAAGAGAACCACGGTGCCCCAGACCCCAGAACTGCAGATCCACCAACAGCTTGCACCCTGTGGCTGGAAAAGCTGCAGAAACTCAATTTCAGCCCATGAAAGCATCAGCTGTGGCTGTAATCTTCAGAATCACAGGGCAGAGCTGCCCACAGACTTGGGAGCCCACCCCTTGCATCAGCATGCCCTTCATGTGAGACATGGAGTCAAAGGTTCTTATTTGGAGCTTTAAGATTTAATGACTGCCCTGCTGGGTTTCGGACTTTCATGGGGCCTATAGCCCCTTTGTTTTGGCCAATTTTTCCCATTTAGAATGAAGGCATTTATGCAATGCCTGTACCCCCATTTTATCTTGAAAGTAACTAACTTGTTTTTGATTTTACAGGCTCATAGGCAGAAGGGACTGGCCTTATCTCAGCTGAGACTTTGGACTTGCATTTTGGGTTGATGCTGAAATAAGTTAGGACTTTTGGGGATTGTTAAGAGGGCATGATTGTGTTTTGAAATGTGAGAAGGACATGAGATTTGGGAGGGGCCAAGGGTGGAATAATATGGTTAGGCTTTGTGTCCCCATCCAAATTTCATGTCAAATTATAATCTCCATGTGTCAGAGGAGGAACCTGATGGGAGGTAATTGCATCATGGTGGTAGCGTTTTCCCATGTTGTTCTCGTAATAGCGAGTGAGTTCTCAGGAGATCTGATGGTTTAAAAGTGTGGCACTTCTCACCTCACTCTCTATCTCTCCTGATGCTATGTAAGACATGCCTTGCTTCCTCCTTGCCTTCCACCATGATTGTAAATTCCCTGAGGCCTCCTCAGCCATGCAGAACTGTGAGTCAATTAAGCCTCTTTTTAAAATAAATTACCCAGTCTCAGGTAGCTTTTTGTAGTAGTGTGAGAACAGACAAATACACATAGTGTGCAAATATGTTCTCCCATTTTGTGGGCTGTTTACTCTGATAATTTTTTCTTTTGCTACACAGAGTTTTTTTTTTTTTTTTCAGTTTAATTGGGTCCCATTTATTGTAGCTGCATTTGCTTCTGGGGTTTTATTCATACATTTTTTGTCTAGGCCAATGTCCAGAGGAGTTTTTCACGTCATGTTCTGGAATTTTTATGGTTTCACATCTGAGATTTAAGTCTCTGATTCATCTTGAGTCTATTTTCATTTCAGATGAGAGATAAAAATCCAGTTTCATTCTTTTATGTGTAGCTAGCTAGTTTTCCCATCGTCATTTATTAAATATGGTGTTCTTTCCTTAATTTATGTTTTTGTATGCTTTTGATACTGGCTTCACTGAATGAGTTAGGGAGGATTTCCTGTTTCTCAATCTTTTGGAATAGTTTCAGTTGAATTGGTACCAATTTTTCTTTGAATGCTGGTGGAATTCAGCTGTGAATCCATCCAGCACTGGGCTGTTTTTCTTGCCAATTTTTAAATTACTGACTCAATCCTACTGCTTGTTATAGATCTGTTTAGGGTCTCTATTTTATCCTGATTTAATCTAGGAAGCTTGTATGTTTTTGAGACTTAATACATTTCTTCTAGATTTTCTAGGTTTGTACATAGAGGTGTTCACAGTAGTTTCAAATAATCTTTTGTATTATTGTGGTACTGGCTGTAATGCCTCCATTTTCATTTCTAATCAAGATTATTTGAATTTCTCTCTTCTTGGTTAATCAAGCTAGTGGTCCATCAATTTTGTTTATCTTTTCAAAGGAACTACTTTTTGTGTCCTTTTTTGTATTTTTTGTTTCAATTTAATTTAGTTTTCTGATCTTTGTTATTTCTTTTCTTCTGCTCATTTTTAGTTTGGTTTGTTCTTGTTTCTCTAGTTACTTTAGGTATAATAGTAGGTTGTCAATTTGTGATCTTTCAGACTTTTTGATGTAGGCATTTAGTTTTATAAACTTATTATCATTCATTTCAATATTTTTAAGTTTTCATATTGATTTTCTTGTTAACCCCAAAATCATTCACGGGCAGATTGTTTATTTCATGTATTTGTGTAGTTTTTCAGGTTCCTTTTGGAATTGATTGCTAGTTTTATTCCACTGTTGTCTAAGCAGATATTTGATATGATTTTTTAAAATTTATTGAGACTTGTTTTGTGACCTATCATATGGTCTTCCTTGTAGAATGTTCCATGTGCTGATGAGAAGAATGTATATTCTGCAGGTCATGGGTAGAATGCTCTGTAAATAGGTATTAGGTCCATTTGTTCTACAGTGTAGTTTAAGTCCATTTTTTTTGTTAAGTTTCTGTGTCAGTGATCTATCTAGTGCTGTCAGTGGAGTACTGATGTCCCTCACTACTATTGTGTTGCTTTCCATCTTATTTCCTAGGTCTAGTAGTAGTTTTTTTTTTTTTTTGAATATGGGAGCTACAGAGTTAGGTGAATATAAATTTAAAATTATAATAACTTCTTGCTGAGTTAATACTTTTATCATTGTATAATGACCTTCTTTGTCTTTTTTTTACTGCTGCTATTGTAAATCTGTTTTATGTGATAGAAAGTCACTACTCCTGCTTGCTTTTGGTTCCCATGTGCATGGGATTTTTTTTTTTACCCCTTTACGTTGAGTTTATATAAATCCTTATATGTTAGTTGAGTCACTTGAAGACAACAAATTTTTTTGGGGGGGGGGTGGAGTCTCACTCTGTTGTTCACACTGGTGTGCCGTGGCATGTTCTGAGCTCACTGCAACCTCTGCCTCCCAGGTTCAAGTGATTCTCCTGCCTCAGTCTCCCAAGTAGCTGGGATTATGGGCATCTACAACCATGCCCAGCTAATTTTTGTATTTTCAGTAGAGACGGGGTTTCACCATATTGGCCAGGCTGGTCTTGAACCCCTGACCTCAAGTGATCCACTTACCTGGGCCTCCCAAAGTGCTGGGATTACAGGCATGAGCCACCACACCTGACTTGGTCTGTGTTTTTGATATTTTTATTTATTCTGCCAATCTGTAGCTTTTAAGTGGAGCATTTAGACCACTGATGTTCAACATTGATATTGAGGTGTCAGATATTTTTTTCAGTGTTTTTGTTAATTTTTACATAGATACATTGCTTTTATTGTGTTAGTATTTTATAGGCCCTGTGAGTTTTATGCTTTCAAGAGTTTCTATTTTTATGTATATTGAGCTTTTGTTTCAAGATTTAGAACTCTTTGTATTATTTCTTGTAGAGCTGGTCTGGTAGTGACAAATTCACCCAGCATCTGGGTGTCTGAAAATGACTTTATTTCTTCATTTATTAAACTTAGTTTTACTGGATACAAAATTCTTGACTGACAGTCATTCTGTTTAAGGAGGCAAAGATAGAACCCCAGTCTCCTCTGGCTTGTAAGGTTTACTCAGATAAATCTGCTTTTATTCTAATGGGTTTTCCATTATAGGTTGCGTGATGCTTTTGTATCACTGCTCTTAGAATTGTTTCCTTCTTGTTGACTCTAGGAAGCCTGGTGACTATAAGGCTTGGTGATTTCCTTCTTGCAATGAGTGTCCCAGGAATTCTTTGAGCTTCTTGTATTTGGATATCTAAGTCTTTGGCAAGGCCAGCAACATTTTCCTCAATTATTCCCTTAAATAAGTATTCCAAAATTTTGCTTTTTCTTCTCCCTGACTAACACCAATTATTATTAAATTTGGCCATTATATATGATTTTATATTGGAGACTTTGTTCGTTACTTTTTATTCTGTTTTCTTTATTTTTTTTCTGATTGGGTTAATTTAAAAGCTTTGTCGTTGAGCTCTGAAATTCTTTCTTTCAGAATTACATTTGTAATTCCCTAAATGTGTTTTCTTTATTTCCAGAAGTTTTTATTTTTTTAAAAAAAATCTCTTTATGATTTTTTCATTTATGTCCTCCATTGTTCTCTTAATTTATTTATATTCATTTTCACTTTCTCTGGTATCTCCTTATGTAGCTTAATAATCAACCTTTTGAATTGTTTATCTGTTATTTCAAAGATTTCATCTTGGTTTGAATCTGTTGCTGGAGATCTGGTGTAATATTTTGGGGGTACTACAGTACCCTGTTTTGTCATATTACTAGAATTATTTTTCTGCTTCCTTCTCAATTGGGTAGACTATTTATTTTAATTGTTCTTGAGTTTAGTTTTAATTTCTCTGGGTTTTTAAAAATCTATTTTCCCTATTAAGGATGTGAGTTTAACATTTTCCGTTTATTGTAGCCTAATTTATCTCTTGGGGCTTTCAGAGAAAAATATTCTGTATAGGTTCCTTGGTTATAGAGAGTCTTCATATGATGGCTTTCACAGATGCTTGTTGTAGTAGCAATGTGACAGGGTGTGTGAGCAGGTTCACTGTCTCCTATGGGGTTAGAATGGCAGAGGTCTCTGAAGCTTATCTCATTCTTCTGTGGTGTGCAATTTCTTATTTATTTCCTCAAGTATTTTATTTAATGAATTAAATTGTTCAGGCCAGTAGGGGGGGTGTCCAAAGTAGAAACTGGTTGTGGCTAAAAGATGTGAATAAATGCAACACACAATGGTGGGCATATGTCCCAGCCTTGAGAGAGATGACCGATGGAGTTCTTTCTCAGTGAAATGCACTGAGGTCTTATCAGTGGGAAGGGTGGGAGCAACTTCAGCTTTGCTGCAAGGCCTGCAGGAAAGTGATCCACCTTCCAGACTCACTCCTGACCCAGTGTTTCAGCTATTTACATGAGAGGGGCATCTCTTTTCATCTGCAGGCATGTTGATGTTCCACGTAGAGAGGAATTGTGACTCTACCCCTCATGCCAGCCTGAAGCTGCAGAGCACTCCTTCTGTGGGGATACAGCCACCCTGAAGTATTCCAGAAAGGCTGTTTATATGGACACCCATGCTGAGGTCTCATGGAATAAACCCTAGTTGAGCCTGCACTTATGGACAAAAGGGACAAAATGTTCCCTTTTTCACAACCCTTCCTGAGCACCAGGGCTGCCTAATTATTGGGGTAGAGTTGAATAATTTCCCACAGAGGCCAGCACTGAACTTGTGCCACTGCTAGAAGAAACTTCCCACCAGCAGAAAGTTCTGGGACTCATGGTTTGCCTTCCAGATTATTTTGTCTTATGGAGTATTCCCTTGATGTGGTACACTCTCCCTTTGCCTAGAAGTAGGAGTCCCTGAGAATCAGACTACTGTGCATGCTGCTGCTCCTCTGGGTCTAGCTGCCCAATGGGGCTGCCACACTCCAGGTTGGTGTTGGGGAATGACTGCAAGGGATCCAGTAATGTGACCTCTCCTGAAGTCTCTCAACAGTGGGTATCAGCACCAGCTCTAACAGAGCTGGGAGGGCAGTGAAGTAGACTCTATGTGATTGCTTGGTTATAGGCAGCCTTAGTGTGTTGGCGTTCTCAAATGCTGGTTTTAGTAATAATGAACTGATCATGTGGACAGACTAAGGACGTCCTGGTTAGCTGGGGTGTTGCAGGCAATGGTGATAGCTGGGGTCATATACGTTTTCTTTTTCCTGGACACATTCTACCTGGAGATGTTGTAATTATCTGTGTCAGTTGACCTCCAGCCAGGAGGTGGCATTTGCAAAAGAATGCAATCTGTGGTAGTAATGGTGGGATCTGTGCTTGCCTTATGTTACCCAGGGGAGGTATTCTGGTTTCTCAGGCAATGGGTGGGGCCGTAAGGCATCCAACAGTTTCTATCATTTGTGTTAAGCTACCTGGGTAAATGAAGAGGCAAAGTCAGGAGGGGGCTGGGTTAGGCAGGTCCGTCCTCTGGCTCTCCAAGTACATGTCAAGCAGCATCCCCGTGTGGGAGCTGAGAGGCCGTTCTGTGGCCACTGGGTAAAGTTACAGGGTGAAGCATAGTTGCTTCTGCTGCACAGAACACTTTGCACAAGGAGTGTGAAGTAGCAGGTGGCATTGGTGCAGCTCTAAAGCAGTTGGCAAAGAAGGTCCCACATCTGCAGTGTTTCCCTAGCAGCAGCTAGCTACGTTCCCGGCCATCTATACTCAGAACTCACAACTGCCCTAGGCCATAAGCTTTCCCTGAAGAGATAGCAAAAGTGACTTTTAGGCCACACTCCTCCCGGTCTACCCACCAAATCAGGGTGCCTAGCTCCTGTGCTCATGCCTACAGCACCCTTTCCACTTGCCCTTCAGTTCTGGCCAAAGAAGTTTGTCTTCACTTAAGATGGTATTATAAAATTCAACTGGGAGATTCTCTCAGCCTGCAACCACTGTCTGAGTTAGTGCTCAGATTTCTACGAGGTCCCCTAGGAGTTAGGATCAGAAATGGCTTCCTTCAGTGCACACTGGAGACTGGGAATGCCCACAAAACTCTTCCTGCTGCTGCTCCTATTTTCATATTTCCCAGCTCTTCCTAAGTCACTTTCAGCACTGCATATGATTAAGCCCTTCCTCCAAGCCTAGACTGCCAGGTTCCATGGTTGAAGTATATATCCTGGAGGCAGTCTTTCCCCCTCTCACAGTCTGGGGACTTACAGTTTTCCACCAGGCTCATAATGAAGACTGCTGCCTGCCACTTCTTACAAAGGGTCTGTTGTTTCTTTCAGTTTTCCTGTTAACTTCCTTCCCTGCTTTTTGAAAAATAATACACATAAGTCTCTACACACTAGTTTGTCCTTCCAAGTGGGAGAAATGTGTTAACCCTGCCTCCAAACCACCATTTTGGAAAAATAAAACAAAACCAACAAAACAATATTCTCTTTTTATAAGGATAGCCAATCACCTTTCTCTTTAATGTAAATTCTGACCTCCATCACATTATTGATCAGACACGTATAACTTTTAATGTTTGGCATATATTAGTCATATTTTCTACTTAAATGTCAAATTATATATGCTTGGTAATTCCTTAGGTAAATGGTATATAGTTACATAATGTAAATAAATTAAAGCTTGAAAACATCTCAATTTATTGTAGTTTCCCCCACATCTTGGTAACTTTAATACATGGCTCACTTTGTTTGTTAAGTATTTTTCCGCCAGTTTTAATGAAATGACTTTCCTCCTTGTATATTTAGGCGTAGAATGACAAGCAGCATGATGAATTAGAAATTGGCATCATTCCATCACCTGAAAAAAGCAAATCTACTTATTACACTTTATTATTGATATTAAAATATACATATTCTGAAAATTCTAACATGCTTCTCCTCACCCTCATATATTGCAACTTATACAGCTTTTAGAAGTAGAACTTTAATACCGTGTTTTTTATAATAAATGCTGATGAGAGGAAAAATGAATAGTAAATTAAACACTTAATGTGTTTCTTAATATTAATGATAGATGTGAGTTGTGTGTGCAATTTCATAATTTGTTCCATTGGCATGTAGCATAGTCTTTTTAATCACTGTGCCTTTTGCACTTCCCCAAATCTCCAGTATATAAGAAACATTTCTCTATATAACAAAGACGAATATGTGTTCAGTAAAACTTCCCAGTCATTCAGAACGTTCTACAATTTTATCTCTGTCTTCAGGAAAATGACTTTAGGCATGGTATGAATGTTGGTAGAAAAATAACATTGGCATATTTTTTGTACTTTTGCTATCTCTGGAGTAGGAGGCTTTCTCTATGGATGAACATGGAGCAAACTCTTCCATTATTTGTTTTAAAATTTCATTAATTCCATTAATTAAAAAAAAATTACATCCTGTAAAAATTGTACCAAGAAAATAGTCTTCCCATTCTCTCAGAAGAAAAAATACACAAAATGTTCACTGCAGCAGTGTTTATAACGGTAAAAAAGGCAACCAACATAAAAGTTCGATCATAGAATCAAGAAAATCATGTTAGACACTCTCTTTGGAATATACTATAACCATTAAAATGATAAAATGTGATGAACATTGCATAGTTACCTGAAAAAAATAATACATCAGGTAGAATTTAAAAAGCTGAATGCAAATTTTCATCTATATTAACATGACACACATGTCTAAACAAGGTATGTGTATGCACGGGAACTGAAAACGAGCCAGGAATAGTAAACATAGATAAGTTGTTGAGTGTGTGTGTGTGTGTGTGTGTGTGTGTGTGTATGTATATATATATATGGTGTGTGTGTGTGTGTATTTTAAAAGTTTCTGTTGCTACTGTTATGAAAGTGTTTTATTTGTTAATGTATTTTAAAGTTTCCATGTAACCACATTTCCCCTTACCAACTGCTTGTCATAATGGGCTATAATTAATGCATTGTTTTATCCTATTTAGCCTTTGGTGTTGAACTCCAGCAGTGTTCATGGGCCGTTAAGTTTTATGACTCTATAATGACAGAACATCTTAAAGCCTAAGTGACCTTCAAATGGCGAAAACATTTGTTTAGATTCTCTGCTATTAAAGAATAAATAATACATCCATTCACTCAATAGGGGGATTTACTTGGGCAAATTAAACATGTAAGAGAGAATTATCAGTATGTTCATCATCTTCGATATCACATAGATGAAATGGGTGCTAAATACCATATATAAACTTGACAAAATGGGTAAACAATTAATTAGAATAGGTATTGCTTCTGTCACAAATTTTAATTGAATTTAGCACATTCAAGATTAGTTCAATGAAACTTAATATTTTCAGCATTTTATCCTCTGACAATGGCATTATTCGAAACCTAGCTCATATACAAATGTTATAAGTTGTTCTAACACTGCAGCTCTCTGTGCAAGGACAGAGAACTGTATGAATTGATTTATTAGTATGCTTTTTTTGACCAAGACAGAAAACAACATGTCATCATGTGGCGGCAAACAGAATAATGGCCCCAGAAAGATGCCCACATCCTAATCCCTGGAATCCATTAATACGTTACCTTCCGTGGCATAAGAGACTTGAAGATGTCATTAAGTTAAAGATCCTGAGATGAAAAGATTGTCCTGAGTTATTGAGTAGGCAGAATATACACAAAAGTCATTATAAAAGGAAGGCAAGAGCATCATAGAAGGAGATCTGAGGACAGAAGCATAATCCGGAGGACAGAAAATTGAAAGTACTGTTGTAGGAAAAACCAGGTTCTTGTCACATTACAGGAATGATTAGGCTCACAGACAATTTGAAGGGCGAGGTGGGATATAATTTATTGGGCAAAAAAGAAAAAGGAAAATAAAAACAACACAGAAAAGTGAGATGAAGTCCTGCTAACGGGCTCTCCATTTCACTGATTGAATCCCAGGTTACCACACAAGAACGGGAGGGGCCAGGCTCCCCCAGCCCCTGTAAATAGCATGAACTTTCATGACTCCACCCCATTCTCTCAGTGTGAAGGCCAGTTAGAAATTATCCAGGGACCCCTTTATACTTGGCTGTCTCATCCCCTGCTCTAAAGAAGTGCATCTAACTGCCATTGTGAGAAGGATTAGAGTTAAGGATGAAGACCAATCTTAACTGCTTCCTGCTGCCAGGGGGCGCTGTTTTGAGAAAACGGCAGTCAGATCTCCCTCAGAGGTCTATTTAAGGGTCCCTGGCAGAGGGGACCATCATCCAAGGCTCCGGTTGCATGACCATTTGGAGTTTGATGGCCTGAACGCAAGAAGAGAAAAACTGGGTTATTTGAAAACGTATCAAAATGAAACAAAGGGGCGGTAAGGATAGCTCAAAAATCCTGATGCCTTTTACCATTTTGCATGGGGAGAGGGAGGCCAAAAGCCCGACTGGTTAATAAAAAACTTTTACCCCTTTGCCAGCATGTCAGGCTTCTGGTTCCCTTCCCCTGAGCCCAATCCTGAGCCCACCAGTTTAAGGTTTGGGAAATTAACTTTTCCCAGTTTGGAGGATACATTCAAGGGGAGTGTCCCATAGTATGGAGATACAATTACCTATCAGTGAAGAGAGGACAGAGAAGGAGAAAGAAAAAAAGGAGGCATTTTTAAAAGGGGTCCCAGGGGTTCGGGATGCATTCAAAAGGGGTACAGACTGAAGATGCATGGCTACTTATCTAGAAAAAGGGGAGCAGGAATCCCTGGTTCACTTCTCTTCCTAGCAAATACGCAGGGTATGTGAGGGAGGGAAAGTGAAGCATTCCTCTTTCTTTCCTCCGTTCTTGTATCCCTGAGTCCCAGTGACCATGACAGGGTGCCTCTCATGGGTGCCAAAACAGCCTGCCCCCATGAAGCAGAGAGGGCCTAGAGAATAGGAATTATCTGCTCTCACCTATGTCTCCATCTCCCCTACTGTCAGTAGCTTTGGAGTTCCCTTAGACCTCATTTATGTCATGGATACTAGCATGACCTTTATCCGTGAAACGGGAGGCTTGGCTTAATTGGCGGGAATTAGCCATGCTTACCTGTGCTGTGCCTTTTAACCTCTGTTATTGCCTGCCTCTGGATCCTTTAGATCCAGTTTTCTTTCCTAGGACTTTGACCTGAAGCTTAAAATTGAGTTTGGGACAAAAAAAAAAAAAAAAAAAGTGTCTCAGTGGGGTTCCATGGACTCCTTATCATAAGCTAAATGCTAAGATGAAGCTGCAGAATTGAGTCCTCTCCTCCAACAAGGGAGAGAAAAGGATGTATTGTGACATGCCCAGATAACTGGTAGCTATAGTTTTGCTTGCTAAGATTTGGGTACTTGGTGCTTGGCTTTGATTAGCTTCATTGGTCTTACTTTCCCAAAAAGGAAACCTCCAGGTGACGAGCATCCTATTTATTCTCATCACCTGGCAGGATTTGCAGGATAATTGCTCAGAACTATAATTTTGATCCAGATTTCTACATTAGCCATCCCCTTTTTTCCTTCTGAGCTGCAGCTGGAGATTGCTGGTTGATTCACAGGAACAAGCCGGGTTAGTCTAAAATGTAGGCAAAAACTTAAAAACAACTAATGGGCTTAGAATTTAATGACAAGTATATGATAAGTTTTGAGACATAATTTCTCTCTCTCCAGTCTTCATTTTTGTTAAAAAAAATCATAGTAGGACTGAGTTATTTGCAAAATAGACTTTAGTCTTATACTTGGCCTGATTATTTGCATAAAGTGCAGCAAGAATAGCTATTTCTACATGAGCTTTTTAAATTGGTTTTGATAAAACTCGGTTCCACAAGGAATCTCAGAGAAGACCTTTTAAAGCAGAGTCCAGCCATGGGTTTGTATCCTCGAATACCTGGGAGTTGGGTGATCCTCTCCTCTTAAGGTCCCAAGATAAACTTGGAGCTCCTGGGCCTATTACAAAGTGACATTCTTTACTGACTAGAGGTCAAGAATTCTGTAAAGGGACTGTGTAGAGAAGGCTATGAGTCCAGTTCCCCCAAGGGACCTTTATCTGATCTGCATGTCAAGCTTGACTCCTTAAAGGGAAGCATACCCTTCTAGTCAAAGCCTTGGTAAAACAACTAGTTTCTCCAATTGCATCCTTCTTGCACTGATGCAAAGAACTCTGTTGCCACAAGTTAAGAATATTCACAGATAATTTCCAAATTCTAGAGGAACCAGGCAGAGAGAAACAAACATGATCCAGATTTTGCTCACAGGAATATACCTTACTCAATTATTAAAGGCTGTAAATAGTTCAAAATAAGTAAATAAGTTTCCTTGACTCTGAAAAACAAAGCAAGGATCAGCATTATTCCAAGCAAAAGTCAAAAAGATTCCTTCAGCTTTCTGAGTTTAGTCCATTTCGTTAACTCCTGTTCTGCTTGATATTCGTCAACATTTTGGCTCTTCATGAGTCCTGTATAGTTCTCCTTTATTCCAATGTCACAATCTCCAAAGTTATCAGAAACGTGTATTTGAAAGCACCTGTCAGAATTCTATAGCTTATTAAAAATCATTTTGAAAAGGATTAAAACAAGACAACAATTGTCTGTGAGTAACAAAATGTCCAGGGTAGTTACAGTTAGATACACAATTGACAAAGAAGTTTGGTTACCTCTGTGGTTTACAATAACTTAACAACCTTAATTATGATTGACAGCATATATTTTAGACATTGGAATTTTAGAAATCGTGTACAATTTTGGAACATATATTGGTATTATTCATCAAAATATAAACTGAGGAATATTGAACACCGTTTTGGTAATCCCTTGTGCCTAAACATGTCAAATAATCCTGTTTACCTCTCTTTTCTGGTACTCCAGGGGACCTTCTGAAGTATCTGAAAAGCCAGGTGTCAGGAAAGATAATTTTGAACCTGAAGTTTGATTTGGGGAAGCCTGTTAAATATGTTAAACATATGAAACATTTAATGTTATGAAATGAAATTCCAAGTTATCATAAATTATTTATTTTACCAAAATGATGATTCAGAAACTTAAAACAGCTAAAACCTTTTATAACCCTTTATCAATTATGCGAAGAGCAGATTGGTGCCTGAGGAGTACCTTGTTCTGCTTTCATTTCAATGTTCAATTTACAGAAAAACCATATAATTATAATACCTTTTTGAAGTTAGGCAATATGTTAAAACATAGAATTTTTGCAAGGTTAATGTTTCCAATCCCTCCACCACTTCTTTAAACTTTTAGCTTTATCTTATCTAATTTAAAATAATCCATTAACTCTAGGCCAGAATTTACATTTTTATGCCTTCTTATAACCTTTTGCTGAAAACACATTTTACCATTCTTACATACCTCACATGTAAATCTACTTCCAGTGGTCTCAATTACATGTCATAATGGTAACTTTTAGTAATTTTTAACTTTAATGTAAAGCCTGGTGAGTTGTTTTGATTACGTGCTAGGTGCAGCCAAGGTTTGACTCCTTCCAGCATAATTAAGGGTGTGGTTAACTCCATATGTCCCCAGGCCTTACAGAGTTGAACAGTTCTCAAAAACCAATAAGCAGTACCTGAAAACATTTAGCAAACCTTGCATCTCATCTGCATAATTTAGTTCACCTATTTACATTTTGATGACATCTGCTTTTTACCAATAAACTTTAAGGCTGTTTTTATTTTTTCTCAACGGTTTAAGTCACATGAACTGAAAGGTACCACAGCTTTTATCTTCCCTTTAAAAAATATTTGATCCAAGTGCTTATCTTCCTTTAGGCCAATTAATTAGAGCTCTTTTTATAGACATCATACACACAACACATACATAACTACACAGACAGGCCGAAGAAAACGCAGTTGCCATCAGATCTTTCATCACGAGTACAGGGATTTATCTGCTTTTATTTCCCCGGGTTTCATGAGGAAACCAGTGGACTCTCCCCTGTCATGTGTGCATTAAAAGTGGCAAGGCAAAAATCAATTCAGTTGACTGAAAAAAACAAAACAAAACAAAAAAAAAACCTTTTTCCAGCAAAACAAGGCTCAAGAATACGATAACGTAAAGGTCTTATAAATATAACTTGGATATCCACTTTTAATTAAGCCGAGCACTCCTTAAGAAAATCCTTTTAACTCCCTTATTATCCGACTTTAGCCACACCAAGCAGCCAATATTTCTGGCTTTCAAACTTTACTAAAGGCTCAGAGAAAGAAAAATCCAAGGTGGTTCGTCAAGGGGATGGGAATCAACTGATGGCAGAAGGTCATGCAGATATCAAACCAGAAAGGCCTCATTCCCTAAGCCAGGGTGAATCTGGGCCATAAGGAGAAAGGCAGGTAGAAGAAAAGCAGTCGCCATACAACGCCTTGCTGTGGGTTTACAGGCCACACCCCCAAGGAGCTAAAACAAGATGGAGGCCTGCCTGCCCCAAAGTTTGCTATGAACCCTACAGAAAGACATGCAAAGCACACTAGATTGGCTACAGCTTAAGATCAGCCTCACAAGTTCTTTCTCACAATTAAAACTCTACAGAAAATATAAACAGTAATCTCCATCATTCCTGGCCCCAGCAAAGCATCTTCCATAAAAAACAAACAAACAAACAAACAAAAACCTCACTTAAAAGTTAACTGCTGACAGGGTGGAGAAGAAAAAAGGAAACCTGGGGAAGAACCTCTTATTCTTAGGCAAATAGTTCCTCCACCCTGGAGGGAAGCTTAATTGCTGGAGGATGGAGCTGGACTCCTTGGCCAGGGGAGGTGGAGACTCTGGAGGCACATGATAGGGAATGCCAGCCAGCCTGCCACTGGGCACCCTTGGGCCATGAACCCCAGTCCTGGCCAGGAGGGGAGCAGGGAAGCTGTGTGGGCCTGCTGCCATTGGGGTGAGGCGGTGTGCAGTTTTCTCTACCCTCAGAAGAGGTCCAAGAAGAAAAAGACTTAGAAGCAAAAGGAAAAATAAAAGTTTTTTGATTTGCATGATATTGACCCTTCCTCAAGCCCTATGTTCTGGGCACCAAACATGTTTTAGGAAAAAACCGGGTTCTTGTCAAACAACAAGGAAAGATTAGGCTCACAGACACTTTGAAGAGTGAGAGGGAACGAAATTTATTGGGCAGAGAGAAAAAAGGAAAAACAACACAACAAAGTGAGATGAAATCCTGCCAACAGGCTTTCCACCTCACCTATTGAATCCCAGGTTACTACACTGGAACGGGAGGGGCCAGGCTTCTGCCCCCTGCAAAGGGCGTGAACTTCCGTAGCTCCACCTTGTTCTCCTGGTGTGCAGGCCAGTTGGAGATTTCTCCGGGGACCCCTTTATACTTGGCTCTCTCAGTACTACACTGCTTCTGGCTTTGAAGTTAGAAGAGGCCATAAGATATGGAATGTATTTTTTTTTTTTTTTTTGAGATGGAGTCTTAGTGCAGTGGTGTGATCTTGGCTCACTGCACCCTCCGCCTCCCGGGTTCAAGAGATTCTCCTGCCTCAGCCTCTCAAGTGGCTGGGACTACAGGTACCCGCTACCACACCCGACTAATTTTTGTATTTTTAGTAGAGACGGGGTTTCACCATATTGACCAGGCTGGTCTTGAACTCCTGACCTTGTGATCCTCCCGCCTCGGCCTCCCAAAGTGCTGGGATTACAGGCGTGAGCCACCACACCCGGCCTGTATGTGGTTTTCATAAACTGGATAAGGTAAGGAACTGGATTATCCTATGGAGGCTCCAGAAGGAACTCAGCCCTGTAGACAATTTGATTAGCCCAGTGAGACCCATTTCTAACGTCTGTCCTCCACAATGGTAAGATAATAAATTTATGTTTTAAGGTGATAAGTTTTTGATAATTTGTTACATCAGCAGTCAGTATCAACTACAATGTTTTTGATGATGTGTCTCTGAAAAGCTCATGGCGATCTAAGTTTTGAAGATCAAATGGTACTTTATAAACATGCAGGGGGAGATTTACTATTTCAAAGAAGGTCACAAATAGATCCCATTATAACGCCAAGCATTTTTTTCTCATTGTGAAAAATCAACCCAATACTAATATGTTTTATATACTTATACTGTTCTTTGCCACATTTTCATAACACAGAAAATGTTAAAACATCTCAAGTAAAGCAATAAATCTTACAGAGACAGGATAGTAGAGTATGAGATTCTGGACTTTTAAGCCTGAGAATGTAGGTTTCATGTTTCAAAACTTCAGAAGTAATTAGGATGTTAATGGTGGTGGTGGCTGTTGTAGTTGCGGTTGCTGTTGTGTGTGTGTATTTCTTGTATTTCTCTTTCATAAGGAAGTCTTCTACCCTATGCACAGAAAGACTTAGGCCTAAGTTTGCTTCTAGCTCTTGAAACTTACCTATGGCAGCTAAATTGCTAACAACTGACAAATCAGGATGAGGTGGGGCTCTGACGTGAATCAATGCCGTTTAGAGACTCACTAGATTACTGAACAAAAGACGCTTTGGGAGCAGGCCTGCTGCTTAGAAAACATAGGTGGCTTTTTCTAGCAGTTAGAATAAACTCATTTTCCAAAGTAGCTTGAGGACATTTTCACCCCCTGACCTTTCCCATTATTCTCTAAGGAAAACAAGTAAAAAATATTCCATGGCTCTAGACTTCTACCTCACATTGCAATGAAGGTCAAAGTTTACTGCCACTTCAAGAAATTTTCTGAAAATAATCTTTGCCTAATGCATAAGAAGCAGCCTCCAATTTATGCTTTTGCTGCACTATAAAAAATTCAGTGAGAAGAATCTTGGAACATTCAGGAAGTACTTTTTATAGATTCTATTTTATATAAAAAGTACACAGCATGTGGAGTCAAAATAGAAATTAGTAAAAGTGGGAAACAAAGCAAACAAAGTTAAAAACCATTAAAATATTTAGTTATTTCATCAGTTATATTTTCTTCTATTGCACTTATTAATTAGGTTGTTAAACACATATCTGCAACTTCTCTTGAGCTAAAATTGGTTATTTACCTAACACTTCATTTTCTAGAATCTGAAAGTCAACACAGCATATATCATGATTCTTCAGGAATTCTCTTCAAGTAAATTGGTGAAAGTTATTATTGTCCTTTCTATGAGCAGTGACTAAGCCAGTCACAGGGAAGTGAGAATCCCAGGAGAGAAAACGTTTGATGAATGTGTGCTGTATGCCAAGCTGGTGATCTGAGAAAGGAACACGGAGTTCTAGACACTGACCTCATGTTGACTTGAGCATGTGACATGGCTCATTAGGGCAATATAGGAACATAACTTGGAGGTACAGATTGATATGATGCTATAAACAGAAAGAGTTGCCGGCGGTGGAACCTCTGATTTAGCTCCTGTAATATATTACACATGTTCATTCGTTTCCACAAATGAAGATTTGTTGGCCTTCTCTTTGCCACTGGTAGAATATATCTCAGACTAACCAAGGTTATAATATTGCATCCTTTCTTATTTTTATTTTATTTATTTATTTTTTAGAGATGAGGTCTCCATTTGGTACCCAGGCTGGTCTCAAACTCATGGGCTCAAGAGATTATCCTGCCTCAGCTTCCTGAGTAGCTGAGACTACAGGGATATACTACCATTTTTAATTTTCAACTTGACACTCTTCTATTATAATTTGTAAATCAAGTTTTTTGAGGTATAATTTATATGTAATAAAATTATAAATTTAATGTACCCATTTCAAGGATGCAGTCTGATGTTTTGACAAAATATATACAGTCACGTAGCCAACATCTCTCCCAAGATTTAGAATATTTTCCATGACCTTCAGAATTATATCCTTCACCTTTGCAGTTGGTTATTCTTACCCCACAGTATTCAAGACCTACAGGTCTGCTTTTAGTCACCAAGAATGAGATTAGGTTTCCCAAAATGTCATTTAAATGGAAATGAAATCAGACTATAGAATACTTGTGCCTGGTTTCTTTTGTTCACCTTAATGACTTAGAGATTTATCTATGTGGTTATGTAACCTGACAGTTTATTTTGCTTTTATTGCTGAGTAGTATTCCATCGTGTGAATAGATCCTCAATTGCTTATCCATTCACCAGTTGAAAGACATTTGAGATGTTTCCAGATTTTGGCTATTGTGAATAATGCTGCTATGAACATTCATACACAGGTATTTGTGAGGACATGTTTTCAGTAGAATTATTGGATCATATGGTAGGTGTATGTTTACTTTTACCTTTTTAAAAACAAACTGCCAAATTGTTTTAAAAATGTATATATTATTTTTCTATCTCACCAGCAATATATGAGAATTCCAAGTTTTTCTACAGTCTCACCAATACTTGCTTTTATCATTCTTGTTAATTTTAACGATTCTAGTGTGAATGTACTGGTGTCTGTTTTGGTTTTAATTGGGTTGTTTATGCTTTTATTATCTAGTTGTAGGTATTGTTTATGTATTCTAGATAACAGTCTTTGCTAAATATATGTATTGTCAATATTTTTCCCAGTCTGTAACTTGCCTTTCTATTTTCTTAATGGTGAGAAATGACTGATTAATTTAGGTATTTGTCTGTTACAAACAAATCTAGGTAGAATGATTAACATTACTTTCAACCTCCCAATGTGGCAAAAGACCAAAAAAGCCTAAGACATTTAAATTTTGGACCAATGGATTTTAACTGAGTGACATTTTCAGAAACTCATGACAATGGTCAGGAATACATAGGTAATATTAATAGTTTTGACTTGACATAATGAACAAAATATTTTTTGCAAAAGTATAGAATGGGAGATCTATACCTAGAGTACTATATTTTTGCAATTCTTTATCATCTGTTCACATAATTTTTAAATTGAAAAGATATGTTGATTTTTAATTCTAAATGTAGAGAATGTGTGTATGTGTGCATGTGCGTGTGTGTGTGTGTGTGTGTATGTGTGTGTATTCAGGCATTAAGAATTCTATGTATTAACACACTCCAGAATGCAGATTATCAAAGGGCTGTTTCATTTGCTTAGCATTTGAAGTATTATATGAAGTTAAGGCTGTGTTATTTAACACGTGGTTACATGAATACATATATAAAGAAGGGAATCATGCGGAGTTAAATGTGTTTCCATTAATAAACACATGCAGGTATAAGAAAAAATAAACAACTCAGAACAAACAAAATGAAGAAACCTCATAACAAACAAACAATGAGAATGAAGGCTGATTCTTGGTACCAGAATCTAAGAGGAAATTCTACTCCCCACAAGACCTATGGTCCTAACGGAACACACCAACAAGTTGGGCAAAGTAAATTTTTGAAAATACCTGCATTAAGACACATCTTGATAAAAATTACATTATAAAGATAAATTAAAATATATATACATCTATTTAAAATAAAATCATGTTGTCTACTAATGTCAGACTGTCCTCAGACTTTTCCTGTGTACTCCTTAATATAGGAAAATAAGTGGTAAATACACATTTTAAGGCACAGAGAAAACAGTAACAGTTATGGAGTCTGCTAGCCTTCAGGGTGCATCTTGATATGGCTTGCAGAGTTAAGTGAGAAGCAGTGTTGGCCTTTTGAGAAAAAGTAAACATTTAGAAGTTTCTTGCCATATTAAGGAAGAAGGGCCCTGGAGCCGTAAAAATATAAATGACTATTCTGTAACTTGGGCATGTGGAAGTTTGAGCGTAAAGTTCTCAGACAATCCTGGGGATGAGTGAAGCAATCAAAACTTAGTAGTAAAAAAAGTACTCAAGTAATCTAAATAAATGTAAACTATTATTATCCAAATTTATCTATTTTAAATATTAGGATGCTAAATACATTTTTTATAGTGGGACTTCTATTGATAGAAAAATTGAAAACCAATATTCTACACAATTTTTGAAGAAAAGGGGCTGAGATCCAAGTACTTTAAATCTAGTAAAAATGATGTTTAAATATGAAGGCACAGTGTGGACAACATGGCCAAACCCCATTTCTACAAGAAACAAAATTACAAATATTAGCCGGGCATGGCGATGCATGCCTGTGGTCCCAGCTACTCATGAGGCTGAGGTGGAGGGATCGCTTGAGCCCAGGAAGCAGAGGTTGCAGTGAGCTGACATTGTGCCACTGCACTCCAGCCTGGGCTACAGAGCGACACTCTCTCTCTCTCTCTTTTTCTTACTGTATATATATATAAAGAAGTGAATGTTGCAGAGTTAAATATATATATATATATGTATATATATGTATATATATATATATGTATATATATATGTATATATATATATGTGTATATATATGTATATATATATATGTGTATATATATATATATACGTATATATGTATATATATATATGAAGGCAGGAGCAATATTGGAAAGTGTGCCACTCAAATTTTTATCTTAGGAAAATGATTGAATTATACTCAGGATTACTGAGAGACAAAACAAAGTTAAATGTATGTGTGAGAAAATAGATATCAAGAACTAGGAGTAAGCAATGGGTCCGCTTAAATATACAGTAGTGTATTTAATGTTGTAAATATGATTACAAAATTCACTGCAAAAGTCAAAAAACAATACTAGACAATGGAAACAATAGTAATTTTATAGCAGTAATTCGTGTTTTAATTCTCAGATTATAACAACGAAACTGCAAAGGATAAAGAGGGAGAGATAAAAGTGTTGATTTATTCATATTACATAGGAGACAATCAAAAACAAAATTTCACTTCACTTTCTGATAAATAGAGATGTGCATGCTAAAGATGGTTAACTACTTGCAGAGTTAAAAATGGGAGGAATATTTTCCAAAACACCGAGAAAGATGGAAGCAAACAAAGGCCAAGAACTTATCCAGAAACAGAGCAGACAGAGAAAACAAAATAACAATGAACATAAAATAAAATAAATGAGCAAACTAACACCAAATACATTTTTTATGACAACAAAGGTAAATGCTTTAAAATTCCATTTTGGACATTGTTGTTGACCTACCCAATTTTCATGTTCTTTCTTTTTCTTTTTTCTTTTTTTTCTTTTTTTTTTTTTTTTTTGAGATAGAGTCTCGCTCTGCCACCAGGCTGGAGTGCAGTGGTGTAATCTCAGCTCACTCTCGGCTCAATGAAATCTCCACCTCCCAGGTTCAAGCAATTCTCCTGCCTCAGCCTCCTGAGTAGCTGGGACTACAGGCATGCACCACCACACCCATCTAATTTTTGTATTTTTAGTAGAGACGAGGTTTCACCATGTTGGCCAGGATGGTCTGTCTCAATCTCTTGACCTCATGATCTGCCCACCTCGGCCTCCCAAAGTGCTGGGATTACAGGCATGAGCCACCGCGCCTGGCCTCCTTCTTTTTTGTAGGTACGATTCACCTGTCATATGGAGCCTGAAACATCCTTCACGAGATGTAAGGAGAAATGCAAAGATTAAATAAAAATTAGTTACATGCTCTGTACAAGAGATGCGTCTAAAACAAAGTGACACTAGAAAGTTGAATATAACGTGAAGAAAAAAAGGTATAGAAATCATACCCCATAAGGCTATATTGATAAGGCAAATGTTAGGAAAAATGCAGGGTATTGACATGTGTTATCTTCTTATTGTGGCTTTTAGTGAGGTCTTGTGTGTGTGAGAGAGAGAGAAACTTAGGCTGAAGGTGACAGCAGAATGGCAGGAAGATAGGGCTTTACTTACTAAGAGGATTTTAAGAAAATAGCCTGGACACTAGTAGGAGTTGAACACTGCAGTGCAAGCAAAGTTTGATCTGAAGCACATCTACTAAGATTAGAGAAAAATTGTGAGGACAGTAATGGGTAATGTATTTTCTGCCACCAATATCTGGCTCCTATTTAGACTAAGCTACCTAGCAATAATGTGAACAAACTTTGACAGAAATGAGAGAAAGGTAACATTAACCAATATGAAGTGCACAATACCACCTATGATTTATGTTTTCAAAAAATTTTAGTTGAATCTAAGTAAGTAAATAGACTTACCTTTCAGTTTAGAGTAGAGAAACAATTTATATGAGATCCTGAGGAAATAATTAGGCACATCCACAATGTGGGATATTATACAAAATATGTGGTTTGATTTCTTTAAATGTCAGTGCCATGAAAAAGTCAATATTATAGATGAAATGAGACTAAACATACATAACAACCAAATGCCATGAGTAAAAGCTTATTAGATTCTGGTTTGGAAAAGATGAAATTCAAGAAAATAACTCTATTAGAAAGTATTCTGAAATTGTTAATATTGTAAGGATGATAATTATTTTATGGTTTTATAGAAGAATGTTTTTAATTTTAGCAGACTCTTGCTGAAGTTTCAGAGATGAAGATTCGTGATTCCTGAAACTTAACTGCAACTTACGCAAAAACAGTCTCTCTCTCTCTGTATATATACACATACATACACTAACATGTATTCGTATATATGTATATCTAGATTAAATATGGCAAAATGTTTCTAATTGTTCAGTATCTATGGTGGTATATGGGAGATCACTGTTCCATTCTTTGATATACTCTCTCTGTTTGAATTTTTTTCCAAATGAAATGAGAAATGAAATATGTAAAGTTCTTTTTTAAGTGCACAAGGAAACTTCCAGACCTGCTCATGGTGTAGTAAAAAGGCACAGACTTACTCTTCTACGTAAACACAAAGAAAACTAAATAAACTTA
The DNA here is from genome assembly GCF_000001405.40 of Homo sapiens. Lineage (NCBI taxonomy): Eukaryota > Metazoa > Chordata > Mammalia > Primates > Hominidae > Homo > Homo sapiens. Next base: position 144,710,066 of record NC_000023.11, on the reverse strand, counting down.
CATGAAGCAACCGTTTTCATATATTGGCCAACAGGAAATACATGGGTGATTACTGAGAGACAGGAAAAAAAAAAACAAATAAATAGAATGATAGTCTGGCAATTGGAAATGCTTCCAGGCCACAGTACTGAGAGGGGCATCTCAGGCACATACTGTCATTGAGTTGAGGAGACAAAGGTTGGATATTGAAAAAGCTGAAGTAGCTGGAATTTTGGAGAGCAGAATACCACAAAGGAGGAAGCTACAGGGAGAAGAATCTGTAGAAATCTTTAGAGAATCTCCCTTGATTTTGTTGCCATGCAATAAACCATGCATGTGCAGGATAAAATATCATGAGATAAAAAACAATTGGGGGGCTGAACGCAGGAGTTCCTAAAGTGAACACATGCCTAGGACTCTTGATTTCAGAAAAGCTAGAGGGAAAGGATCCTCAATGACCACTTTAGGCATTCAGTGGAGCTCCCAGAGGTGGTAAACCTTAGTAGAGGTACTATCCTAATCATGGAGTAAAGGTTACAAACTACTCTTGAAAGAAATAAAGATGCTCCACAAGTAAGTTAACTGCCTTCAAGAACAAACTTGCCTTCCTAAACTCCAAAATAATACAAAACCTCCCAGCACTCAAAAGCAAAACTCACCAAAACATCACTAGACTAGTGAAGAAGCAGAAAAGTATAATTTATAAGTATGAAAAAAAAAATCAGTAAATAAAAATAGTCTCTGAAATAACCCAGGTCATGGAATTAGCAGGTAAGGACTTTTAGAACAGCCGTTATAAATATGTTCAATATGCTCAAGGATTTGAAGGAAAATAAGCATAGTGAGTAGAATACATGAAAACTGAGAAAATAAAATACATGCATTAAACCAAGGAGTGAAAAATACAGTACCTGAAATCAGAAGAGTTCATTACAGGATTAATAGTGAATTAGCCAATGCAAAATAAAAGACTGCTAAACTGGGCCGGGCGCGATGGCTCATGCCTATAATCCCAGCACTTTGGGAGGCCAAGGCTGGCGGATCATGAGGTCAGGAGATCAAGACCATCTTAGCCAACATGGTGAAACCCCATCTCTACTAAAATACAAAAAATTAGCTGGGTTGGTGGTGCATGCCTGTAGTCCCAGCTACTTGGGAGGCTGAGGCAGGGGAATCACTTGAACCCGGGAGGCGGAGGTTGCGGTGAGCTGAGATCGCGCCACTGCACTCCAGTCTGACGACAGAGCAAGACTCCGTCTCAAAAAAAAAAAAAAAAAAAGTGGTAAGCTGAAGACGTAGGAATAAAAACTAAAATAACTGAAATATAGAGAGACAAATTAATGAAAAAATTGACAAAGCATTACCAACCTGTGAGACAACATCAAACACTCTGACATAAGCATAAAGTTCCCTCCAAATAAGTAGTTTGGGATTGAACAGTAAAACTATAGCCATCTACTTTTTCTCCAAATGTAAGATATGATATAAACCCACAAATCCAAATACTTTGATTAACTACAAACATGATAAATGCAAAGAAAACCACTCCAAAGCATATCATAATTAATTGCTGAAACCTCATAATATAGATAATATTTTTAAACAGCCAGAAATAAAAGATATACCACATACTGAGGAACAAAGATAAGACTTTTTACAAACTATGTAAATAAAAAGACAACAGAATAACGTATTTAAAAGTGAAAGAAACTCTGAATCTAAAATTTTACGTTCAGCAAAAATATCTTTCTAAATGAAGGTAAAATGAAGACTTCCAAAAAACATAGAAATAAGAGAACTCATTGCTTGCTGAAGTACACTGCAAGAAATGTTAAAGGAAGCCCTTTGGCTGAATAAACATGATAACAAACTGAAACGTTGACATATTCAGATGAATGACGATCTCCAGAAATGGTACAGACATGGTAAATATGAAAGGCTTTCTTCTATTTTTAAAATTTATTTTATAGGTAATTGTATATGTAAGGGGAAATTAATAATTTATTAGATGTTAATAACATAAGCTGAAGTAAAATTATACCAACAATTTATTAAAGGAAAGGAGGAAGAAATGAAATTATTCTATTGTAACTTTCCTACATTATCTATGAAGTGTAGTTGGCCCTTGAACAACGTGAAAGTTAAGGAAACCAACCCTCTCATGCTGTGGGAAATCGTGGATAACTATTGCATCCCCAGCTACTCATAGCCTACTGTTGACAGGAAGCCTTTCTGATAACATAAACAGTTGACTAACACATATTTTTATGTTATATCTATTATATACTTTATGTTTACAATAAAGTGAGCTAGAGAAAAGAAAATGTTTTTAAAGGAACCGTAAGGAAGAGAAAATATATTTACTATTCATTAAGTCAAAGTGGATTATCATAAACATCTTCATTCTCATTGTCTTCATATTGAGTAGGCTGAAGAGGAGAAGGGGAAAAAAGGGGTCTTGTGATCTCATAGGTGGCAGAGGTGAAAGAAAATCCATATACAGGTGGACCCATGCAATTCGAACCATTGTTGTTCAAGGTCAGCTGTGGTAGCTGATTGGATTTGAGAGGTGAGAGAAACAAGTGAAGAATGATTGCCTTATCAGATGGCCATGCCCATCACACAGAGGGTGTTTTAAAAGGGAAAATTAAGATGGGGTATGATACTGTGTTTTAATTGGGACACATCGAGTTTAAAGCCTGTGGGATGCCTATGAGTAGAAGTCCGATAGGCGGTTGCAAATGTAAGACAGGAGTTTGGGTGAATGATCTGTGATAAAAATAAATGGGAGTTTTCTGTTAGAGCTATGGAAGTTAATGAGCTTACTCTGGTATAATGAAAACAGGGTGGAAAAGAAAGTCCTGAGGTATGCCATAATTTCAGGATCAAATGCTGAGGAAATTGCAAAATAACAAAATTCGAAATGAACAGAGAAGTAGCAAAAACAAAAAAGACTGGTGTTCTGTAAATCAAGACTGCTAAGAAGGAAGGAGAGTGGCTAAAATGCAAAAGGTTACTACGTTGGGTTCTGAATTACAAGTGCGAGTACTGGTATAAATTAGTAGTACAGATTATTTAAAAATTGGAAGATGTTTTGTTCTAGGTGTGATTTACACTTTAATCGGTCTTCTTATCCTTTTATTTATTATTACCTCAATAATAATACATGAACTTTCACATGCAAAATACCTTAAAGAGCTGTTTTCATTTATAAGAAGTGCAGATGTAGGAAACCTATTTTAAATAATTGTTTTTACGGCTATCTGGGAGTGAGTTGGTGAATTTCACTTTTCTGTTGGAAGTGACGTACTCAGATTATGATTTCATTCTGTTTTTTTTAAATTGTGGCAATTTTGAATATGTTTGTTCCTGTCTCGATATGGAGGTCAAGGAGAGAGGAAAGGAGCAAAAACTTTCCGAACAGGTTTTAGTGTCATATTCATTAAAAAGTAACATAACACAGATAGTTGATACCATGCCTAAGACAGAGGTGACACTCAATGAACACTCAATGACACTCAATGGATTGACTTTAATTTAGTGGATTTCTTGTGACTATTTCTAAGGTTAAATGGGTAAAACATGTAATGTAGTTTCTGCCTGGTTAAAAATGTGGATTTTACTGTGAATCCTACTGCTTGTTGTTTTGTAATACCCCAGGATCTTTTCATGATGAAATTGTAGATTTTAAGAAATATTGAATCAGTGTAATTTTGGGTAAAAAAAGGTAAACTGCATAGCACTTTTTTGATAAGCAAGGTGGAGGTCACAAATGTGGGTGCTGTCATGCTCCCTTTGGCTTCTGAAAGCTGAGCTTGTCCTTCTATTTTTGTTGCATTTTGTTTTTATTAATATTTACCTGCTTTTCCTATTCATTTGTATTAATAATTGCAGGAATCTAACACCTGAATCTCAATTATTTGATATTTCACAGTCATTATACTGAAATTCTAAAGGAGATGGACCTCTTCCTAAACTGGCAATGGTTAGTAAACCTCTCTCTGGTCTGCTGGTCGGCGCACAAGGTTAATCACACTTGCTTCTTGTTTATTGCATGGAAGGTCTATCTATCACCCAAAGCACCTCCAAACATGCAATTAGAGTTTGAAGAAAAAGATGCTTTGCTAATTGCATCCCATACCTACAATTTCCATGCAAGTGACATGCCTCATTTCCTGGAATGGAATACATGTGTTTTACTACTATGAAGGTTATTAATTGATGAGTGACTTTTGAGAAGTAAACTTTAGTGTATGTCTGTAAAATATAGCTTCTGAGAATATAAATTTATCACAGAATCTGATCTCTGTTTTTTTATAGCTAGTAGAGTCTGATACTCTTCACTTTTAATATTCCTTTTAAGGTATATTCAGAGTCAATAAAACTTCAATGTCCCATATGAAAGTTTCCATACAACCAGTCCTTTTTTTCGTAAGTTCTTTAAAAAGTGGGGTGTGATGTGTTTGTGTGTGCGTGTGTGTGTGTTTGTGTGTGTGTGAGAGAGAAACAGAGACCAGAAGAGAGAGAAAGTCAGAATAAGGAAGGAGTGTAGAGAAAAGTTATAAATTTTATATGTTATGTTTGGCTTTCATTTATTAAGATATAGAGATAATCTATAAAGTTGGGAGACCCAAGTTTGTTCGTCTGTTTATTCCTTCATTTGTTCAACTTTTCATTAATTTATTAAACATTTATTGCATTCAGTAAACATTTCTTGAGCATCATTTCTGTGCCAGGCACACCCAAACTCACTGTATATACAGAGATGAATCAGACAAGCTCTTCCATTTTAGGAAGTTCTAATATAATAGGGAAAACAGAAAAGCCCAGGGATTGTCACAAGGTAATATGGTATAAGAGCCATATGACTCCTAACTCATTTTTGGTGGCAGAGAGAGGTGGATTCCATATCTGCTAATTTCTGGATATGAGACTTCGGGCAAGTCACTTTTCTTCTCTCATTTCCTGCATGTCTAAAATGGGGGATATGTTTTAAACATAGGGTGCTGTGGTGAAAGTGTACAGATAATCTGAGAAAGAACTTGAAATTTTAAAAAGCTTGGGCACGTGGATAATTACTGCCATTATCATGGTTGAGCTTATGTGAACAAAAAGGTTGGAGGAAAGGTTTTAACTACGTTAACCACTCCCCAGACTTGACTTGAAACCCAAGAATTAGGGTCAAAAGTAGAATGTTTGGATAGTAAAATGTACCAGAACTGCTTTGTACAGGATATATTTATAATACAGAGTTAGTCTTTAGGGCATTCTAAACCTAAGAAATCCTTGATATTTTCCAGTAAATCCCTAGTCTAGAAGAGTTCTTTGATTCGTCTGTACTGCTTCATCCTCATTCCACTCTGCTGTTATTAATATTTATAAGGACAAATGTCTTCCTAGGTTATCATATTGTACCATCTATTTTGGTTGGTCCTTGATCATCCTGCAGCTTTTCCCATCTTTAAGCACTTGGTAAGGAATACATAATATGGTTGGCTTTTGTTTTCAGCATATGCCCTTCTGTCTCCCAAACTAGATTGTCACATCTCAGCTCTCTCAGTCTGCTCCACAGTACCTAGTCCTTACACATGTCTTCATTTCATCCAATTGGCATTTGCTAAACATTCATGATATGCTGTGGCATTATGCTAAGTGCTTATAATATCATCTCATTAAACCCCATAACAACAATTTAAGGTAGGTATTAGTATAATACCATTTTATACATGAAAAACTGAGGCTGCTTGAAGTTAAATTACTTTGAGCAAGGTCATCTAGCATTTCAGCTGTTGTTTTTTGGCCAGCTCAGATCAATAGAAACAGATTCTGCTTTAACACCTCTCCTGCTGCCATGTCCTACATAATCCTGGCTTAAAACTCCTTCCTCTACGCCCTCTAGCCAAAGGAGCTGAGATTCTATCACACCCTGCGCCTGTTCTACTCCCTAGGAAGTAAAATGCCAACATGAAGTCTTTGCTGCTCAATTTCAGCTAGACAAATATTCTGATTTTGTTTTTCCTATGAATGTGGCAGCGAGACCGCCTTCATCCGGCATAGTTTTGTGTAATTTGGAAAGGCAAAAGCAAAAAAAGAAGTTTTAACATTAAAGTAACATTTGTGTCATTCAATACACCATTGAGTGAGATGCTCTTTATATACATTATTCTCTTTCCAGAGAAATTAATAACCATTTTATAGCTATTAGTGAGGGATATAGAAGTTGATGTTATAAAGTTTAAAGTTTGGGATACATGTTTCAAGTAAGACATTGAGTGTCATCATTTTTGACGAAGGTGATGCATGTCATGTAAAAAGCCAAATGCTCTAGATGAGCACAGTTCTGTTTTCTTCATTATTGCTTTATCTTTCATTTTCTGTCCAAAGGGAAACAGAGGTGAAACCGGAAAAGGGATCAACAACGGGTATTATTATATTCTCCTCATAATTTATTTTCATGGCTGATGTTGAAGCAAAAGTTAAATAATAATTAAGACTCTTTCCTCTAAAAATAATATTAGCAGAGTAGTGTTTCGATGTCATGAGATAAAAAAGAAAAATTTAATATCAACTTGTTTTCTGCATATATTTTGGAGTGAGATGAAATATTGCTTGGAGAGTTGAAATTCTCAACATTGCAGTATTCAGAGTTCTGATCATTAATTTCTGATGCAAACATACATAATTTATGATATACTTTTGCCTAAAGAAGTCTCTCCAAAACTCCATGAAGATAACCCAAAATGCAGTCAGATTCAACCAACAAGACTACTATTTTCCATTCAGACCTTTAAATGTTTTATTTTTCAGTGATTCCTGAAACAACCTCTCAAATTCCAAAGCAGGCTTAATAGATTATTTAAATGTTGGTACAAATCAATAGTGAAAGTAATAATATCATCTGTGTTTTATTAGTGGATGACTTCATTTCACTTATTTAAAATGTCCAGCATCATTCTTAGGGCAAGAGGAAAGCATAAAGGGGCTAGTGGAAAGCAGGACAAGGGGAAGGTAACAAACATTGAGACTCACTTAGCAAACTTTCCCTTAGGCAATCTTTCTTTCCAAGTATCTCTGATCTTCTATTAATATATTAGGTTCATGCAACTTGCTTTGGAATCTTGGCACTATAAGGGATCATTTAAATAGGATGTAATGGAGGGATCCCTGAACTCTGAGTCCGACAGAGCGAAATCCGAATCTTGGCTCTGTTACTACTACCTTGCTGGGCTTCAGTTTCCTTATCTGTAGGACAGAGACAACATAGGTCTCACATAACACTGTGGACAAAATGAGATAATGTAGGTGGAGTTATTTAGACAACAGCAGGAGATTCATATCAGATGAGAGTTGTACATCACTTTGAATTCCATCACGATGTTTTAATTGAAGTGAAGGAATTACTTCTTTTTGGCTTTGTAGAAATTTACTTTGCTTCAGATCTGAGCAGGAGGAGACCTCAGACTGATAGTAGATTATTCTCTGTTTGGAAACCCCCAGTAATAAAGAAGCCACTGCCTTCTGAGTTATTTCACTCCATTGTTTAACAGCCCCTGTTAGAAGTGATTTCTACTTCCTCCACACATTCAACAAATATTTATTAAACACCTACTATATAGCAAGCATTGTAGATTAAAAAGGTGAGATAGACAGTCTCGCCCTTCTGAAGTTCACAGCCTGATGAGGGTGATATACACGCAAACAATTATAATCGTCTAATGAATATTGTGATCTCTAGGAAGAGGGGCTGTGCTAGTGCAGAAAATGGGTGTTAGCAGGGCCCTGGATAGAAGTAGGAGGGAAAGAAAAGGCTAATACTGGAGCAGAGACTTAAAGGATGAGTCAGTTCTTTCGGTAAAGAACAAGAAAGTGGATGTTCAATTTTAAAAACCTGGAACAACATGGACAAAAGCGAGAGGCGAGAGAGGAGATGGCTTGTGTGGGAAAGCACAGGTGTGACTGGAAACTGAGTATGGGTGGCATTGTGAGGGCAAAGACATTCAGGCACCTGATCATGGAGAGCAGTGCTTGCCACCCTAAGGAGCTGGGGTCTTATCTTGAGGGTACCGGGGATCATTAGAGTGCTTTGATCAGAGGAGTAATCTGGCCAGGCTTGTGAAACAAGGGTAAATGTACTCTGTAACTCTTGTTGCAAGAAACGGTGAACAAATTTAACTTCAACTGACATCAGATTAAATCTGCCTTGGTGCATCCCCTCCCCTTTGCAGGATAACATAAATTTAATATCAGTTACGTTTTACGGACTTTTGCTATGTTTATTTTTTTCAATTTGTATAGAATCCTTGTCTGCTTTTTTTTTTATTATTGTTTCAAGGTGAATTCAGGGTGATTTTTTACCCTTGTTTTTGGGGAACTTCTTGGGGAACAGTTAAAATAGAATGGGTCAGTCCAAATTTAACAGTCTGTTATCCAGCGTTTTTTTTTTCTTTTAAGCCATAGTGAACTGTTTAGATAACTTTTGAATTATTAATCTAGCTACTGTAATAGCTCATTAGACCCTGGATATTCAAACTAACAAAACCAGGGTAACAGAAGTCTTAGACCTATACAAGGAGGTTGAGTTAGCAGAAGCAGCAGAAGGGTCTCATTATATCCCATGTTTCAGCAAGTCCCCTGTGTAGCATTTAAATGGGACAATGCATTTTAAATTAATAATGTCCTCTGAAGACCAGGCCTTTCACTGCATTTTGGCGTAAACTAACAACTCATAATAGTGGTTCTGCTTAGAACTAAATGCCTTGAACAGTACGATAGAGGAGCATCATTTTAAAGACAGTTTATGCAAAAGATATTACTGTTACGCCTCCTTGAAATTGTAATTATCAAATTAAATTCTGAAGCTTAATATCTGTTTGCCTTTAAGAAAATAATGCAATTATGTTCGTAGAAGTTATTTAACCAGACAGTGAGACTACAGGGGACTAGAAGATTCATTCTGTGATACATAGAAAGCAAGAATCAGAACACACGCTAAAAGGAATATGAAAGAAATAGAAGTTAATGTGCTAGGGGTATCAAACGGAGTCAAAACAGAATTAAACATCAGCGGGCAATAGACTTGACTTGCTTTCTTTACTAATTACTTGTCAATTCCCATCCCAAATGATAAATGTCAATATTTTAGCTGGTGCCATTTTAACATTTATCAAACTACGTACATATGGCACAGATCCAGTTCATCTGGAATCCACAAAATTCAAAGGCTTGGTATTATAATCTTTAGAATGCAGGGATAAGGAAATTAAGAAAATATTTTATTTGGAAAGTATAGTCCTTTCCATGAAGCACCCTGGGTTCAACAATATTAGGGGAGTTGTTTTGAGTTATTTGCATATAATTCTGCAAAACTTACTTTCGTATGGATAATAATTAAAGGCTTGGTTTTCCAATAGAGACTTACCTGATGAAAGAGCATTTATTTAGTATGTACTAAGTGCAGGCTGCATGATAAATCAGTCAAAGTTGCTGTCTGGTAGAGTTCAGCAATTAATGGACAGAAAATTGCAATATAATATGAAAAATATTCATAAAAGTAAGAATTGGAGGTTGTAAATATATTGAAAAAGACTCAGATACCTCTGCCTGTGGCAGAGGGGGGACAGGGAAGGCTTCAGAGAGGCACTGGATTGTGAATAGCACATTAAGGGAAAGGTCAGGTATCTGATTATCAGAGGAGCAGGGCCAGCTTCCTAGGAGTGTGCAACTGCACAGGACCTCATGCTTGGACGGGACCGTGCTTGGTTCAAAGTTCTGCTGTTGCCATCTTGAGAGTCCTAAGGCACTTCAAATTTTTACATTTCCATATTACACTAGACCTTGCAAATTTCATAACCAGTCCTGCATAGCAAGTAGGGGACTATTTAAACATCTACATAGCTTCTGTCCTAAAGGGGCTACCAGACTGGGATGGGAGTAACTATCTCAGTTTTAGGAAGAAAAAATATGGTACGATGCAGAGGATTTACTGCTGTGAAGATATGGATGAAATACTAGGGCAAGTTAGGGAAAGAATAGATTGATTTTTCAAGAGGTGTGATGGGATGGAGAAGAGAGTACTGAATAGAAGTAACATTGAGGTGGGCCTTGAAAAATTCTTTTCATATTTCACAAAAGGTGATAAAAGGCATTTTAATGTGAGAAAATAGTATATGCAAATTTGAGAGCATTCATTCACTGGACAAATATTTATTGGTTGCTTGTTACGTTCCGGACACTATTTCAGGTTCTTGGTATAGAGCAGTGACCAAAGCAAAGTCCCTACCCTGATACAGCTTGCATTTTCGTGAGAAATCTGAACAATAAACAGGTAAGTGAATAAACTTATAATGTTAAATGATGAGAAGTACCGTGAAGAAAAATAAAGCAAGACAAAAGGATAGAGAATAGGGAGGGCCTTTTTATAAAGGAGTTCCTGATGTGGTGACATTTCAGCTGAGACTTAAGTGAAGTAAGAGGGGAAGCAATGTGGAAGGAATAGCAAGTTCGTGGTCCTGAGACAGGAATAGCACTAAGTTATATGGAAATATGGAGTGCACTGTGAGTGCAGCCCAGTTAGAAAGAGTAGTATGCAGTGATATTGGATACCCAGACAGGGGCCACACTATGGAGGGGCTATAGGTCATGATGAGGATGTTGGGTTTTATTGTAAATAAGGTAGCTGCCATTAGAGAGTGGAGAGCAAGAGATGAGCAGGTCTAAGTTGTATCATGAAAGGTTACCTTGACTGCTTGTGAATAATAGACTTTAGAAGGGCAAGAATGGAAGCCGGAAGGCCAGTTCGAAAGCAATTATAGTAACTAAGTCAAGAGATGATGGTGGTGACATCACCTAGAGTGGTCGTGGTGGAGGCGTTGAGATGAGATTAGATTTGAGGTATATTATGAAGGTAAGCCAGCATGATTTGTTGATAGAGTTGATATGGAGTATTAAAAAGGATGCTTCCAAGGTTTACGGCCAGAGAAAATGGAAGAATGGAGTCCTCGTTTACTATGAAGAAGTCCTGTACACATTATGCTTGAGGGTGGTGGTTTAGGTCATAAGAAATAATGAAGTTTAAAATTTGTATACGTAAAGGAAAGGAGGTGTGGCTAAAGAGAGAGGTAGAAACTATCTGAAGTCAGGTCTTCTAGATTAAGAGAAGGATTTTGGATTTTCCCTAAGAATTATAAGTCACAGAAGAGCATCATACATCTTTAATTTCAGAAGAGTTATTTTGACTGCTATGTAGAAATTCCTTTGGAGAAGTGGGAGAGGAATCTATTAGGAGAGCATTGTAGTAGTCCATATAAAAGATGGTGAGGTAACAGTGCTAAAGTATTGGCAGTTGATTTGGAGAAGAGGGCATGAATTTGAGAGAAAACCATGGACTCTTATATATCAAGTGTTTTATTTTTCTTTTTTGAGCACCTAATTTACAGGCATAATTTGGGGGATTTGATATGCCAGTAAATAAAACATAAAGATTTACACTTTCATGAAACTTACATTTTTAGTGAGAGGACAAAGACAATAAAATAAATGATATTTAAAAGAGTTAAAATGGTATAAGTGATATGAAGTACAAAGTAGCAAAGAAGGAGGATAAGTCATGTTGGGGAGGAGTTACAGTTCTAAATATAAAGGTAATGCAGGTCTTACTGAGAAAGTGACATTTGAATCAAGACAAAAGGCTTTGATTTTGATTTTCTACAAATCCATTCATTCAGCAAATATTTATTGAATATATACTGTTTCCTCAGGCACTTTGCTAGGCATTATCATTCAGTAGAGCTTAATTTTTATTTTTCTGCAACATCTGGAAGCATAAACAATTTGCATTATGTTTTTAAAGGGCCTTTTTGGATAATATTTGTATTGCATCTGCCATGGCTTTTGGGGATCTTAAGAACTCCCCAAAAAGATAACTTTTATTGAATGACCCCACAGACCAAATGCCACTACTAACATAGCAGCTATAGGAACTCAAGGGAGAAATTAAAATATTGTACTTTGCAACAAAGGACTCTACTAAAATAAATGGGGATATAAACTTAGGTGTAATTTAATTTCACTGCTCTTTTAAAAATGCTGGTATAATTGAATTAATGTTGGAAAGGACTTGGTAAATTATAAAGCCACATCTTATCAGAGAGGCTTTACCTGACAACCTTATCTAAAGTGTCAATATCCCCACAAATGTCACTCTCTCCTTGACTTTCTGATTGATTTTTATACTTATCACTCATTGCCATCTGACAGATTATCTATTTCACTTAGTTATTTGTTTAACTTTGGAGGCTTTTTAATTTTTTAGTTTTAATTTTTATTTTTATTTGCCTGCCTCTTTAACAAGAATGTAAGCTTCATGATATCAGGAATTTCTTCTGTCATGTTCACTGCTGAACACCCAACGTATTGAACAATGCCAGGCACATACTATAAACTCTTTATTTGTTTAGAATTATTATTATTGTTATTATTATCATGAGACAGGATCTCTGTTACCCAAGGTGGAGTGCTGTGGTGCGATCATGGCTCGCTGCAGCTTCTTTCTCCCGGGCTCACTTAATCCAAGTGATCCTCCTGCCTCAGCCTCCTGAGTAGCTGGGACCACAGGTGTGCACCATCACGCTTCACAATTTTTAAAATTTTTTGTAGAGATGGAGTCTCGTTGTGTTGCCCAGGCTTGTCTTAAACTACTGAGCTTAAGCCATCCTCCTATCTTGGCCTCCCAAAGTGTTGAGATTACAGGGTTGAACCACCGTGTCTGGCCTATATCATTATTTTAATTGTTAAATGTATGTATTTTAAGTAGGAAGAAGAAGAGTGGGAGGAAGAGGACTAGAAGGAGGATGTTAAGAGCCCCTAATCTAGTAGAAGTTGGTGCCAGTAATGACTTTTGTGACATGTGTTCCATGTGACTGTCTATTCCAGGCCAACCATCTTTGGTCAACAGACCTATGTTTTTGGAATAGCTAATCAGGTAGAACGACCAACAATTCCACTTTCCTTGGAACTGACACTTTTCCTAAAACATGGTATTTTAATGCTCAAACTGAGAAAGTTGAGGACAAGCCAGGCTGATTAGTCACCCTCTGGTCAGACGTGTATATTTTGATTGAGGATGAAACATGTGACAAGGTTCGTACAATGCGATGGTCATATTCCAGCTTTTTTATTCACTCATTCTTTGAATTTGGCAATTCCCTTCTATCATGAGGCCCATATATATATATATATATATATATATATATATATATATAGGCTTTAAACAATTATTTATTTATTTATTTATTTATTTATTTATTTATTTATTTATTTAATTTGTGATCTGGGCTAGGCTCAGCCAGGTAGTTCTGCTATTCTTCACTCCCACATCTGGCCCCTGAGCATAGATGGCCAGAACAGTTGGGACTAGCTGGGATTCTCTCCTTCGGTGCCATCTCTCCAGCAAGGCACCTGAACTTTTTTTTTTTTTTTAATTATACTTAAAGTTCTAGGGTATGCGTGCAAATTTTAAACATCTAGAGAACAAAGGTCTGGCCTAGCTGGTCTGTAATAGTCCTTTCAGCTCTAACAGTTTGTGGCTTGTATTGCTATAAATAGGAATTGAACCCACTATATTGATCTTACTACAGTGACCTTCTCCACAGCTGAGCTAGCTAGCCAACAGAATCCAGACACTTAATTTAATGATCGTAATAACAGCATTTGCCATTGAGAAATGGCAACTATGTCGTGCTTTGAAAATTGATTCCAGAAGGACTAGCATACACTATGTGCTGTTTTCCAGATTAAAGTGATTTATGTTGGAGTTGGCTCCAATTAGATTCTTCCAAAGCTTTGGTGTGATCCCTGTTGCTCTTAGAAGTGGAGAGTAGGCTGTTATTTTAGTGGCTCTGAGTAAGACCCCTGTCCACCCTAAATTGTTTCCACATTTCCCATGATACATTAAAATTTGTTAACAGGGGGTATAAAGCTTGTAAGTAAAATATGCGTATAATGTATTATAACACATTCGCACTCCCTCATTCAAAATGAACGTGTGTGGTATTACAATTTTTGCTCAGCATGGAGAGTCAGGAGAGCTGAAGGACACAGAGGATTAAAAGGCCAAGAATGGGAAGAGGCCAGTGAGCTTATCATTGAATGGGAAGAGGCTCTTGATATCAAATATCACCGTTTGCCCAAGACATCATTATGGAGGATGTATCCCCCGACTTTTGTCATCCTCTCTGACCTGATTCCCCTGATTAGTAAAGTAGTATTTTTACAGTAATCACCTTCTTTTTCAAGCTTTTTATTCTTTTATTCCACCCGCAGGCTGATTTACTACTTCAGCACTCGTGACACAGACATTTATCTGACCTAAAATCCTCATGAGTTTCCTTAACTATGATCAATTCCCAGATCATTCACATAAAACTTGGGCTCACACATAACTGCAATTAATATTAGATGTCAGAATAGAAATAAAGTATTTTCTGTGGATTGTAAATTTCTATGGAAAGCGTGAATTTTTACCTATTTTGCTTTCTTGGCGGCATTTGGTCTAACATCTATGTGTACTTTTTTATATTAATTTTATCTGAACCTTTTCTTCTCACCCTGAAGTCTGTTTGAATTTCGTCTCACTACTCCTTATTAAATCCACCATTTCCTCCGTTTAGCGTAAAATTTCACCAATTCTAGCCTTTTCTTAAATTACTCTAGCCTCATATTTTCAACCATGATTTAGAGATACCAGGCTTCGTATGCTACATCGTCCTCTGGTTTGTCTTTTTTTCCCCAAAATGCAGTATTTTTATATTGAACAGACTATATAATTAAATACAGCAATATTCATATGCTCATGGAATTTCTCAGTCCTGAAGGTGCCTCAGAGGCCATTTATTTCTAATTCCACATATGATGGTTGGATTTCTTTCAATCTGTGCTTGAATATCTCAACTGATAACAGCTCAACACCTTGGGAAACAGCACCTCATAACGCAGGATAGCTCCGGTTGCTAGTGATATCTTACTTCTGAAGTATCTGCTTTACAGACTGAAGTCTGCCTCTTTGGATGTCTTACCATGGATTCTGGCTCTATTCCATGATGCTACTCAAAGTAAATCTCTATTTTGCAAATAATAGCCCTTTAGAGATTTGAACAGAGCAGTGCCATTTTGTCTTACCTAAGTTGTATATTCTCCGAACCACACGGCCCTATTTCTTTATAAGTTCCTTATATGGCACAGTTGAATGTCTCTTCACCATCAGTGATTTTTCTCTCTGGTCATGCTCCTGGTTGTGGCACTTAAAACAGAATATAGTGTCTCATAGATGGCTATTAGAATTAATTGAGAATACTTCTGCTATGTTATCATTTCCTATTTTAGTGCACAAATTTTACTTTTTCAGCCTAAATTTACAGTCACTTTATTTCTTTTAACAGTCATAATACACTAGCAGTTCTTAAACAGTTGTTCCTGTATCAACAGGATCAGCATCAGTGTAACCTAGGAATTGTTAAAAATGCAAATTCTCAGACCCGATTTCATATCTATTGAATCAGAAACTCAAAGAGTGAAGCCTAACAAACTGTGTTTTAATAAGCCCTTCTATTGATTCTGATACATGCTAATATTTGAGAACCACTGTACCCATGACTGATAGTCAATCCCCTAAATATCTCTTATGCATGCTACTTCTACCCCATATCTCTTAAACCCAGTACTTATGTATTTGGCTTATGTTTCTCCAATTGTAGTTCATTTCACTAGATTCACTTCATTGCCTCATGTTAGCAAATGCTTCTTGGATTCTAACAATGTTCTCTTCTCTAATATACTTGGTGACCCTCACAGCTTTGGCTTTGTATTAACTGCTAATTTCATAAACATGAATTAAATATTTATTTTAAATGTTTTATTATTCTGCAGATAAAGCAGATTTCATCATTTTCTACAGAGGAAAAAAGAATATTTTTAAATCATAGAAACTGGCAGCTTCTGAGAGGTGCTGTGTTCTAAGTAAGCTCTTGTGTGTTGACCTGCTTATTTATAGAAGCTAGAACTTGAGGCATGCACAGATATACTAAAGAAACATATCTGTAGTAAAAATGGGCCTCTAGTCCACAAAGTGAAAAGGAAGCAGTTAATCAACTCCTCTTACAGCTTCAGCTCAGAATAGGCTTCCAGTTTTCAATTAATTCTGTCTTAGTTTTGGAGTAGTCACCTAGAAATGTCTAAAAAATAGTGCCCCCAGAGAATGGATTCACTTGGTCTAGCGTAAGTCCTGGGCATAGATTTTTTTGTAACAGTTTCTGGCATGGATGTAATGTAATGGAGGTTGACTGAGACACACAGAAATAGAGCTTTCTAGGGACTTTGGCATTTGCCTGAATGAGATGCAAGCCATGGCAGGGTTTTGAGTGATGGAGCAGCACGGTCTGACTTTTGAGATATTAGGAAAACTGGCTTCCCTCTTGAGAAGAGGACAGATACAGGATACAAAAGAGGTGCAGATGAAGTGCCAAGGACATTCAAAGAAACAAGAGCTTAGTGCTATGGATGATTAGGGAGTTTTTCTGGAGGAAGAGGCCACATAGGAATTAGTTTTGAAGCCAGGCAAAATCGATATGTGGAATAATTCTAGGCGTATGAAATGGCATAAAAAAGGCCAGGAGATGAAAAGAGACAGAGAATATTTGGTGGATGGCAGGAACTCATGGCCAGTGACATTTTAAATCAGAAAGAAGATAAGACAGGTAGGTTGAGGCTCTATCTTTACAGATGTCAAATTCCAGGCTTAACGTTATAAACTCCTACTACAAGCTGGACAAAAACAGTTGAGAGCTTTCAAGCATGGAAAATGACACTATGGAAGCTATGTTTGCCTGTTTCTTCCCTATAACCACTCACCCCATACCTAGTTGCTTATTGGATTGCCGTTTTGTCTCTGACATTTAGACCAAATTTATCCCCTCTCCTTCATGAGTACTATTCCTCTTATTTGAAGGCCCCATTGTATAAATGGACAGTGGCAAACCGAATCCAGCAGCACGTCAAAAAGTTTATCCACCACAAACAAGTGGGCTTCAGCCCTGGGATGCGAGGCTGGTTCAACATACACAAATCAATAAACGTAATCCATCACATAAACAGAACCAATGACAAAAACCACATGATTATCTCAATAGATGCAGAAAAGGCCTTCGATAAAATTCACCCCTTCGTGCTAAAAATACTCAATAAACTAGGTATGGATGGAACATATCTCAAAATAATAAGAGCTATTTATGACAAACCCATAGCCAATATCATACTGAATGGCCAAAAGTTGGAAGCATGCCCTTTGAAAGCCGGCACAAGACAAGGATGCCCTCTCTTACCACTCCTACTCAACATAGTACTGGAAATTCTAGTCAGAGCAATCAGGAAAGAGAAGGAAATAAGGGGTTTTCAAATAGGAAGAGAGGAAGTCAAATTGTCTGTTTGCAGATGACATGACTGTACGTTTAGAAAACCCCGTGGTCTCAGCCGAAAAACTCCTTAAGCTGATAAATGACTTCAGCAAAGTCTCAGGATACAAAATCAATGTGCAAGAATCACAAGCATTCTTATATACCAATAATAGACAAGCAGAGAGTCAAATCATGAGTGAACTCCTATTCACAATTGCTTCAAAGAGAATAAAATACCTAGTAATACAACGTACAAGGGATGCGAAGGACCTCTTCAAGGAGAACTACAAACCACTGCTCAAGGAAATAAGAGAGAACACAAACGAATGGAAAAACATTCCATGCTCATGGATAGGAAGAATCAATATTGTGAAAATGGCCATACTGCTCAAAGTAATTTACAGATTAAATGCTGTTCCCATCAAGCTACCATTGACTTTCTTCACAGAAGTAGAAAAAACTACTTTAAATTTCATGTGGAACCAAAAAAGAGCCTGTATAGCCAAGAAAATCCTAGGCAAAAAGAACAAAGCTGGAGGCATCAGACTACCTGATTTCAAAGTATACTACAAAGCTACAGTAACCCAAACAGCATGATACTGGTACCAAAACAGATATATAGACCAATGGAACAGGACAGAGGCCTCAGAAATAACACCACACATCTACAACCATCTGATCTTTGACAAACCTGTCAAAAACAAGCAACAGGGAAAGGATTCCCAATTTAATAAGTGGTGTTGGGAAAACTGGCTAGCCATATGCAGAAAACTGAAACTGGACCCCTTCCTTATACCTTAAACAAAAATGAACTCGAGATAGATTAAAGACTTAAATGTAATACCTAAAACCATAAAAACCCTAGAAGAAAACCTAGGCAATACCATTCAGGACATAGGCATGGGCAAAGACTTCATGACTAAAACACCAAAGGCAATGACAGCAAAAGCCAAAATTGACAAATGGGAGCAAATTAAACTAAAGAGCTTCTGCACAGAAAAAGAAACTATCATCAAAGTGAATGGGCAACCTACAGAATGGGAGAAAATTTTTGGAATCTATCCATCTGACAAAGTGCTAGTATCCAGAATCTACAAGGAACTTAAACAAATTTACAAGAAAAATCAAACAACCCCATCAAAAAGTGGGCGAAGGATATGAACAGACACTTCTCAAAAGAAGACATTTATGTGGTCAACAAACATATGAAAAAAAGCTCATCATCACTGGTCATTAGAGAAATGCAAATCAAAACCACAATGAGATAGCATCTCACACCAGTTAGAATGGCGATCATTTAAAAGTCTGGAAACAACAGATGCTGGCGGGGATGCAGAGAAATAGGAACACTTTTACACTGTTGGTGGGAGTGTAAATTAATTCAACCATTGTGGAAGACAGTGTAGTGATTCCTCAAGGACCTAGAACCAGAAATACCATTTGACCCAGCAATTCCATTACTGGGTATATACCCAAAGTATTATAAATCATTCTGCTATAAAGGCACATCCACATGTGGCACATATGCACCATGGAATACTATGCAGCCATAAAAAATGGCTACTATAAAGGCACATCCAAATGTGTCACATATACACCATGGAATACTATGCAGCCATAAAAAATGAGTTCATATCCTTTGCAGGTACATGGATGAAGCTAGAAACCATCACCCTCAGCAAACTAACACAGGAACAGAAAACCAAATACCACATGTTCTCACTCATAAGTGGGAGCTGAACAATAACACATGGTCACAGAGAAGGGAACATCATACACTGGGGCCTGTCTGGGGGTGGGGGGAAGGGGAGGGAGAGCATTAGGACAAGTATCAAATGCATGTGGGGCTTAAAACCTAGATGACGGGTTGATAGGTACAGCAAATCACCATGGCACATGTATACCTATGTAACAAACCTGCATGTTCAGCACATGTATGCCAGAAATCAAAGTAAAGTGAAAAAAAATTCTCAGAAACTCATCTTTTATAATAATGTAATGTTTAAATTTAAGCTAAAATGCACATAGTACCTTAGTCATTAATGTCATGAAATATCTCCTTTGAAATAAATACTACAGCATGACCTGTTGATGAACCTTACGGTATCCATATTATAAAGCGTTGTCTCCAGGGATCAGGGGCTGGGGGTGGGGGATATCCAATTCTTTCCTCTATTTGGGTATGCTCCTTTGCTTTGTCTTTTTCTGATGTGTAGCTGTATTTCCAGTCCCAAACCCACCTTCCACTGCAATTGATACAGGTTAGGAAATAGTGGTGGCTGTGGTTTCAATGGTGGTGGCTGAACATAAAGGGGGCTATTCATACTTTCAGAGGTCACCATGATGATTCCTGTCATTTTCATAAACTCTGTTTTATTTTAGAGAAGGATGTGGTACTTTTCCTCTTAATATCCCTCAAATCCAGAAAGGCCATGCTCTGTTGATAGGTACTCAACACATGTCTGTGGGATGTAAACATGAAGCTGATTAATGTAATGTATATAGTGTGACTTTAAAAGTAAACCTGAAACTCTTCAGTAAATCATATTTATGGAAACAAGCCAATAGAGAGGTATAAAGTCTATAACAGATTTAATGTCAACTCTCTTGATCAGGTAAGTTTGTCAATGACTCGTGCCTCAACCATAGGATTAGCAGAGCTGGTTGAAAAGCTTCCCGCATAGGGGCATTCGGCAGTAGTGTCGGTGGGAAGGGGAAGTCTGGCCTATCTCAGGGTAATGTACAGATTCTACCTTGATGAGAAGAGAGAGAGAAAAAAAAGAGTTACAATAATATTTTGAATTTATCTGTTCGCAAAATAATTGCAATCAACTGACTGCATTGTCTTAAGACTGCAATGTCTTAAGATTCTTCAACCAGTTTGACTTTTAGAAAAAATAATTACGGTTTCTATTGTAAAATTCTCACCACTTTTGCCATAGGATTCGGAGTTTTGGCTTTGCCCTGGCATTTCTTCTTTGAAATCAGGATTAAGTGTGTCCTCTCCCAGGGTGATTTCCGGAAAATCAAGTTGATGTGTCCAATTGCTTTAACCGGTCTTCTCTTTCAGATCAGCTATGAAGAAGCAAAATAGTATGGAGGTGGTACTGTCACTCTTTCTCAGATGGGGCATGCTATGCCATCTAAATTGTAGATATAATCATTTTGTTTCAGTTAAGTGACAGTTGTACCATCTGTCCACTTTTTCTCTGCTATTCAGAATCTCAGATGATTTTCAACATTAAAATCCATTGCTCCTGAAGAATATTTTATGGCACTTGAAAATTGCTTTTTTATGCAGTGGGAAATGATCTGAATCACTGCAAGTCAAGACTTTTATCAAGATGATATTGAAGGATAAATTCATGTAAGTGGAACTGAGTGAGATTAAAGAAAAATAGAACATTTGATAGGTGCAGAGAAAGACCCATAAGGCCCATAATATGAAGATCCTTCCAAGACCTGTGTTCTCTGATCCCAAGCAATCTTAGCAAGCATCCCTCCTACAGGTCGGGAGCTCTCAAGGCATGGAGTTGGCGAGTTCTTGGGCTGGTTTCTACAAAAGTGTTGGCAGAGCTCTTGTAAATAAGATAATTATACAGAAATTGGCTACTATTATACCTGTTATATAATAAGCATTATAAGTAGCAGATACTAAGTACAAAAAGATCATAGTAGAAATACAATCTTGAGATCATATCCTAGTTTCACTGCTTCTTAATTGTATGACCTTAGTCAACTTGCCTAATATATCAGAGCCTCAGTTTTCTTTTCTGTAAAATGGGTACAATGATGATACTCCAGGTCATAGAGTAGTTGTAAGAATTAAAACAGAACAAATTATATTCAGCTTAGAGTGCAAGATTTGAGCCACGGTATGCTTTCTTTGAGTAGCTATAAACAAAGTGACCATTATTTGCAACATTACTTGATTTTTCCATGAATGTTTCTGCTGCAGCATCTTTTTCTACCTACATTTAGGCTTTCTTTCTCTACAGTTTTTTTTTTTTTTTTAAACTACTCGTCAAAAAATGGATTGCTATGCTGGTTGTACAATAGTGATTACATCAGATCCCTTCTGAATTCACTGTTAAAAAAGTAATTCAGTTCCACTCAATTTGCCTGAGTGGAAACAGGGTCCAAAGAAGAAAGAGATTCCCCCAGCTAATGCAGTTTTGCCATTCTCAGGACTGAGACTGAGATCCAGGTCTATTGACTCTATGCCTGGGGTTCTTTTCTTAGTCCCATCACCATTTCTCTTAAGAGACTGCCTTTTATCATCATCCAGCTGACTCTCAGACCACATTTAGCCTGAAGATAGAAGTCTCCCTATCACCCTCTGCAAGTATGGAGGTGATTTTGCTTTCTTTTTATGAAGCTATATTGAATTAACATTAAAATTCAGCTGTGTAGTCAAACTAGACACATTTCAAGTAGTCAATAGGCACATGTGACTAGGAGATACCCTAATTATTGTACAGTGCAGATGTAGAACATTTCTGACATTGCAGAGCCTTCTGTTAGACAGCAAGTTTCTTTAGCCTTCTCTGACTAGGGATAGGCTCCAGAAAGCTAGGCTTTCAACTACAGCAGATCCTACATTGTCTGCGTGTTCACTAGATTCACCAAAATCAGAGTCTGCCTTTTCCTTTCTACCTATGGCCAGAGAAAAACACGTTTTATTTTATGATTATGTCTATATCTATCATTCATAATATAGATATAAAATATACATATATCTATATGTACAATGTACACATTTATATAGATATGCAATATCAAAATACATATAGACTACATGCTATACATTTATATATGTATATGTATATATATAAATAGCTAAACATAGATATAGATATAGATATAATCCTAATTTCCTGCTGCTTTGTCTCTTGCTGCACTGTCCCTTACACAGAACTATAGGTAAAGAGGGCAAAAGAGCAGCATGCTGTCTATGGTATTTTCTGTTGATTAGAGGTAGGAGTCCTTGATTATTAGGAAGAAGTATCTCATCAGGTTGTAGCCAGGACTTGCAGAGCAGCTATGCTGCTTTAATTGAGATGGGTATAGACTGTCAAATTGCAAATTAAAATAATCTTTTTTATATTACTTTTCACATATTTATGCATATGCAAGTCATGTACTTGTGATTTATGCTTGAAAACAACTGGTGTTTTTTTTTTTCCTTTTTTTCTTAGAAAATAACAGAGAAAGAAGATTGAAAATTAATCAGGAAACAGTTATGTTTTAAGACCTTCTATGAAATGTCTTTATTGAGGCCCTAATCCATATCAGTAAATATATGCTAAACCCTGATTAAAACAAACAATGGGAAAAGTACTCTCTATTCAATAAATAGTTCTGGGATAACTGGCTAGCCATATGCAGAAGATTGAATCTCAATCCCCACACTGCACCATATACAAAATCAACTATAAATGGATCAGAGATTTAAATGTAAGCCCTCAAATTATTAAAATCCTGGAACAGTCTATGAAATACTCTTCTCAACATAACTCTTGGCAAAGGATTCTGGGCTATGTCCCCAAAAGTGATTGCAAGTAAAACAAAAATAGATAAGTGGAACCTAATTAAACAAGAGTTTCTGCATTGCAAAAAAAGCTATCAACAAAGTAAACGACAACCTACAGAAGAGGAGAAGAAATTTGCAAACTATGAATCTGAAAAAGGCCTAATATTTAGAATCTATAGGACACTTAAATCAACAAGCAAAAAAACTCCTTTAAAAAAATAGACAATGGACATGAACACACACCTCTCAAAAGAAGACATCCAAGTGGCCAACAAACATTAAAAAAAGTTCATCATCACTAATCCCCAGTGAAATGCAAATCAAAACCACAATGAGATACCATTTCACACAAGGCAGAATGACTATTATTAAAAAGGCAAAAACAACAGATGCTGGTGAGGCTGCAAAGGAAAGGGTATACTTATTCATTGTTGGTGGGTATGTAAATTAGTCCAGCCGCTATGGAATGCAGTCCGGTGATTTCTCAAAAAACTTACAACAGACTATTGTGAACCCCAAATATCTGAGACAGGCCCCAGTCCATTTAGAGAGTTTATTTTGCCAAGATTAAGAACATGCCTGTGACAGGCTCAGGAGGTCCTGCTGACATGTGTCCCAGGTGGTTGGGGCACAGTTTGGTTTTATACATTTTAGGGAGACATGAGACATCAATCAATATATGTAAGATGTCATTGGTTTGGTTCGGAAAGGTGGGACAGTTGAAAGTGGGGAGAGGGTTTCCAGGTCATAGATACGTGGGAGACAAAGCGTTGCATTCTTTTGAGTTTTTGATTAGACTTTCCAAAGGAGGCAATCAGATGTGCATTTATCTCAGTGAGCAGAGAAATGACTTTAAGCAGAATGGGAGGCAGGTTTGCCCTAAGCAGTTCCCAGGCTTGACTTTTCCCTTTAGCTTAGTGATTTTGGGGTCCCAAGACTTATTTTCCTTTCACATTTTTCCCCTTTTCTTTTTAAAATGTTTTAGAGAAAGTATTTTAGAAAAAAACTGAGTCTCTGGTCTCAGGTTTTGTCTGATCTCTCATGGCTAGGATGGTTTTTTCCTAGATGGGTAGGTCCCACGTTATTAGGAAAGCTCATTTTAAATAAATGAGCAGATTGTGAAGTCTTATGTCTTACAAAGAGAAAATAGGGGAAGCAGG
This sequence comes from Homo sapiens, assembly GCF_000001405.40. NCBI lineage: Eukaryota > Metazoa > Chordata > Mammalia > Primates > Hominidae > Homo > Homo sapiens. The sequence continues at coordinate 144,685,950 of NC_000023.11, read as the reverse complement.
GGATAAAAATAACAAACAAAAGAACAATCCTGGAAAATCTATATAGACCATATGACTCTGAAGTTCATACATCAGTAAGCAGGTATGAAAGTGGCTTATGTATATAAATAGGTTAGTGTTATTCTGAAATTTAATTTGTCTAGCTTTGGTTCACAGGGCTTTAAGAAAAGCACAGCTTAAATTTTAGTGATTTTAAATCAGGAAAAATGGAGAAAAAAAGGAAAAGAAGAAAAGGAAAGAAACATTATTTTGGAGACTGGTAGTCAGAAAAAATTTTAGAATTCTGTCCAAACTAGAGAAAATAATAAATATTGAAAAACATTAGGCAAGACTAAAGTCTAACAACAGGTGTACTGTAGTTTATTTAGAAATACAAATTCTCTCTCTTTAGTCCCATTTTATTAAAGACAAATCATAGGACAAATTCATTTGCAAAATAAGTTTTAGTTTTATTATACTTGGCCAGAGTATTTGCACAAAGTCACAAAGAATAATTATTTGCCATATAGTCTCCTGTTTTAAATTGGCTTTCTTGTAACTTTATTCCATAAACAATCTCGGATTTGACTTTCATGCCTTAAGTCCAGACTGTTCCTGCAAATACTCGTATTCATTGGATGAATTCCTCACCTCTAGGTCCTAAGAAAACATGGGGCTCCTGGACCTGTCGGAAAGTTACATTCTTTACCTACCACAGGTCAGGAACCTGTACAGGAACTGTGTAGACAAGATATGAGGCCAGCTTTCCCAAGGGGCTTTTATTAACTCTATAAGTCAACTTTGATTCTTTAAAGGGGTCTGCATCTGATAGCATGCCATTCCAGTCAAAACCTCGGTAAACAGAACAAAACAAAACAGTGTATCCGATTGTGTCCTCTTACAAAAAAAAAAAAAATTCTTATTGCACTTATGCAAATAGCTATTTTGCCATAAGTTAAGAATACTCACAACTCTTTTTCCAAATTTTCAAGAAATCAGATAGAAAGAAATATGCTCCAAATATTGTTTATAGGAGTATACTTTACTCAATTGTTAAAACCTGTAAGTAGCTCAAATTGAGTTTTCTTGGCTCTGAAAAAGAAAGGATCAGTAACATTTTAAGCAAAAAAGTTATGAAATGATTATTTCAGTCTTCTGTTAGTTTAGTCGATGAACTAACTCCTGTTCTGCTTCATGCTTATGAACATTGCAGCTCTCCAAGGGAGGCTTGGAAATTTTTTCTCTATTCTAGTGGCACAATCTTCAAAACCTCCATTCCAGAGCACCTGTCAGAGTCCTATGCTGATTATAAAACCACCTTTTGAAAAGGATAAAAGTAAAACAACTGTGGATAACAAAAGTCTTAGGACAGTCATAGCTAAAAACACAATTGCCAAGGAAACTTGGTTACTTATCTGATAGACAGAAATTTTACATAATAATCTTAATCACTACTGATAACATATGCTAAAACGTATCAGAATTACAGGAACATCATACAATTCTGGAACACATACTAATGACACATTTATATAAATATAATCCAAAGAAGGTTAAATACTTTCATATTTGATGATACTTTCTGTATGATTTTATTATATCAAATTAAGCCAAATATGTCTCTTTTTGGGCATCAGGGAATTAATATCAAAAAATTAATGAAAATCGAAGTTAGAATTTGACTTTGGAGTTTGTCAAATATATAAATATTAAAACACTCGATATCACAAAATCAAATCACAGGTCATTGTAAAATAAGTCATTCATTTAGTCAAAGTGATAACTCAAAGACTTCAAAAAAAAAAAAGGTGCAAATCTTTCTTCTTTGAGACAGGAGACTTTATTTTCCAAATAGTAAGCCCTAATAATAGCATGAGGTCAATTAATCTCGTTTTTCAAAATTTTATAAACTATATAATTGTAATAATCTTGACCATAAGATATAATTTCCATAAGCCTTCTTATAACCTTTATAACCCTTATTAAGGAGTGGGGTAATGCTTCAAGAAAACCTTGTTAATCTGACACAGGGGCCCATATGCTGGGCTTGCATCAGTGTGCCTTTGACATTGATGATTAATTTATAGAGAAACTAAACTTATTTTCTCTCTCAAAATCAGCCCTTACCATCTGACACACCCATCTCTTCCATGATAGACCGTGGGCCTTGAGGAGTTGAATAGTTTTAATTTCTGGCCCTGTGTCTCATGAACACTGTTTATTTTGATTGGCATCTTTTACTGTATCTGAAGATGAGGCTGTAACTGCTGTCATTGTTAAGATTTAGCAGGAACTTGGTGTCCTTTTTTGACTCAGGAGTCAAAGCCCTGTAACTTAAGGCACGAGGACTTTGAAAGCACGTACATTATGTTACACGGATGTAATAATCTTAATTTCAAAAATTATCTCAGATTTTTCTAAGCAAACCAAACTTAGTAATAATGTCATAGAAATTATTTCAAGAGAGTGTAAGGTCTGTTTATTAGGCCAGCTACCCAGGGGCAAAAGAAAAGGCCTTCTGCAGCGTGACTGCTGTCCCCTATGGGGAATATTATGTTGCAAGAAAACATTTCCTCTTAGACCTTTAAGATCTAACTTCTTTTTTTTTTAAATCAAGCCACAACCATTAGAACCTGAAGGAAAAAAAAATAAGACTTACAGAGGCTGAAAATGAGAATGAGTTGAAGGATAGAGTTATTATTTCAGGACTTTTAAAAGGGGGAGAGAAAGCTGAAAACCATAAGAGGCAATAAAAGTTGAAATGTGCATAAGAAACAATTATAATGTTTTTGTAATTTATTAAGAGTAAAGCGGCCAGGCGCGGTGGCTCACGCCTATAATCCCAGCACTTTGGGAGGCCGAGGTGGGCGGATCACGAGGTCAGGAGATCGAGACCATCCTGGCTAACACGGTGAAACCCCGTCTCTACTAAAAAACACAAAAAATCAGCCGGGCGTGGTGGCGGGCGCCTGTAGTCCCAGCTACTCGGGAGGCTGAGGCAGGAGAATGGCAGGAACCCGGGAGGCGGAGCTTGCAGTGAGCCGAGACTGTGCCACTGCACTCCAGCCTGGGCGACAGAGCGAGACTCCGTCTCAAAAAAAAAAAAAAAAAAAAAGAGTAAAGCAATACCTTAAGAAAATTTCATATTTTGAAATATTTTGAACAAATTCTTTAGTGTTTTTTAAATCAAAACCCAATTTCTGGAAGGACCATTATAATTTCTCTTTAATTATAGACAACTTGATCATATAAAAGGTTTTTTTTTCTTTCATAAATTTTCTTACTATGACTTAGATCATTCATGGTGTGCTTGGAATTTCTGGTTTGTCCTGAACATCCCTGTTTCTTTCATTTATTTATTTGTTTGTTTGTTTATTTATTTTTTATTATACTTTAAGTTCTAGGGTACAAGTGCACAACGTGCAGGTTTGATACATAGGTATACACGTGCCATGTTGGTTTGCTGCACCCATCAACTCGTCATTTACATTAGGTATTTTTCCTAATGCTATCCCTTAAACAACCAGTTATTTTATCCTAGAACCAAATTTACCATCTGAGATTCTTTCTCATATATATTTTTTGCTTTAAGCTTTCTTACCAAACAATACCTTTTTATTTCTGTAACTTTCGTTAAATCTCTCTTATTTCCTGGTTCGTTTTACCTTGTTTTATACATAAATTATAAATAAGCTTTGAATTAGACAAAAATTATTCATGTTTTAAGAAAGAGACACTTTTTTTAGGAAGAAGGTTTTCTTACAATATTTTATTGAAAATATCTAATAAATGAAATCTCCATTATTTAATTTAACTTTAGATTAAATTATAACAAATTTGTCTACACATATTTAACCCATTATATTTACCGATTTTATTTTAATAGTTTACCTAGATTATTTATGAAAACACTTATAGTCATTATTTAAAGTTATAAAACTGCCATTGCAAAATTATAACTGAGACAGTGAAAGAAATCTGACCTAACAGACACCGTCTTGTTTCTAATCTCCAAGCTATCTTTGTTCATTCCTGGGCATAGGCCGAACTAACTTCTGGAGGACCTCGGTTTACGGTTTTACTGTGAAACAAAGATGAAAACAGTCCTTTCCCAAAACAAACCTTCTTCCTGCCTAAAACCACAAGATTAGAAATTATGGTTTAGGAGTCACGCAGCTGGAGGCTGCAAGATTCTAAATCTTCCCGAATTGCTCCTGGGGATAGCATCACTACTGTAAAATGTAAGATCAGTGCTTGAGATATTTTGCAGACTCTGCACTTCATGAGTTAGCTGGCAACTCAGATGGATAAACATCTCATCTAGTCTTGTAGCCCCCACCCAGGAACTGACTCAGCACAAGAGGACAGCTTCGACTTCCTATGATTTTATCTCTGACCCAACCAATCAGAACTTCCGACTCATTGGCTCCCTAACCACCAAATTATCCTTAAAAACTCTGATCCCCACATTTTCAGGGACATTGGTTTGAGTAGTAATAAAACTCTGGTCTGCTGCACAGCTAGCTCTTTCTCTATTGCAATTTCCCTGTCTTGATACGTAAGCTCTGTCTAGATAGCAGATGAGGTGAACCTGTTGGGCGATTACAGCTATTTCCCTGTCAACCATTTTATAGTCTATAAATTTCAGGTGTTTACCTAAGTAAGAACCTTAAGATTAAATATATGACTCTTTTACTAAATAATTCCAGATTTAGCTATTTTCATTAAAGCATAATTAATGTCTTATTTATCAAAAATTACACAAGCAAAGCTTATTCTGTTTGGGGCTAGGTTTATAGTTTTATAACCCTCATGACAAATTGTGACACCTTATAATATTTAAGGGAAAAGTACAAAATTGCTTGATCAATAAATGCAAACAAAATGTATGCTGGAAATTCTTAAGACATTTCTAACAGTACTTCACCAATAATTTTAAAGCTAGCTTATTTATTAAAGATTTTACATAAGTCACATAAACTTAAAGCATTTGACTACTCTTTTTTTCTGATAAACTATTTGATTTAACCACTTTTATTTTTCTTAAGCCAATTAATTAGAGCTCTTTTATATATTTTTAGTAGTGAAACATTGTGTGCACAACACATACCTACATAGATCTATTAGATATGCTGATAGAAGTAAATCTTATTGATTGACAAGACCTCGTTTTTTAATTTTAGACTTTCAAATTCTTAATAGCCTGTTTTGTTACCCTAGGCGATTGTCAGCTAAATAGCCCTAAATTTGCACATTGAAGGAAACAACTCTTAGGTAAAAAATTATATAGCAAAATTTACATCTCAGAGTACAGAGAGAAAATGTCTGGTGTGCTACAGGGAAATTAAAACTGATTTAATTGCCAGTAAACATAAAATTACAGAAATCTATCATAAAGGCCCTTTAAATATATATGTATATATGCATATTTACACACACACGCACGCACACACACACACACACACACACACACACACACACACAAAAGGTTCTCTAACTTTTACTTCAGAACTCTAGCCCTGAGATATTAATAAAAATTTACTGGCTTGCAAAAACAAAAAACAAAACAAAATAATGGTCCGATCCAAACAGTGGTTTTTATCTTAGTAGAAAATTTACAGCAGCTTTAAAGCAGGCATAAAAGAAAATAGAGAAAAAGGGAACTTAGGTACTCTATAGTTTGCAGGTCAACCATAGGACTTTTTCTTTGATGTAAATGTGCACGAAGACAATAATATTTTTATTTTTAACAAACTCTAGCAAGTAGAAGCACCATAAAACCAGTAAAGTTCCCAAAAAGGGGTTATTCTTCATGTTTTCTCCTCATTCTTAGATTATTTGTTTCCCACTTTTTTTCCCCTTTTTTTTTTTTTTTTTTTTTTTTTTTTTTTTTTTTTTTACTGAAAAGGAGGAACTGAACTGTGGCCTAGGGTTTTTGTGGAGTGGGTAGTAATGTGTGCTGGTTGTGGTTGGGACTTCATAGTGTCACCACTGAGCACCTTCTTACCTGTCTCAGTTTCCTTGTCCGGATGTCTAAGCACCTCTAGGAGGGCTCAAAGCACAGAGTGACCAGCTCCCGTGTGTTCCTTCTGGACAAACCTTTCTAAAACTAATTTTGTTGGGGGTTCCCTGTAGGGCTGCTACACATCACAGGGGGTCAACCTCCCAGAGACTCCCATGAGTCCCCTGGTCACACGGGGTGCCACTCAACTGGAAGGAGCAAAATTCCCTTTCTCTTTGGAGCTGAGGAAGCTCAGTCTCTCATTTATCTATGAAAACAACAGTTCAGTTCCTCACACAAATGTGCACAGATAAGCCAAACTGAGTTTAATTTTGGGAGAAAAAGCAATGGAGAAGACCCTTTTGGAAGCATCTTGGGACTAGAAGTAGGATCCTTAAGCAACGAGTTCCTAGGAGAGAAAAAAAAAAAAAAGCAGCCAAAACTCAAGACCACTTCCTGTAAACTGTCCTCAGCCACCCCTAACTTTGAAGCTCTCATCTACCATTACACATGCCAAGGTCAAATCCTCTCACAGTACAAGGTAATCTCTGATATCCCCAAAGCCGAAGAGGTCAGGTAATGCAATACAAGAAAGCATAGCTTTAGACCTATGAAGAATGTGCCCATGACTCTTGAAACTTCACAAAGAAAACACGACACCCCCAAAAGGAGTGAGCAGTGCCTTTGTTCTGAGTTCCTTAAGGGGTTTGAGTCATTAGAAGCCTTCTCTAAATTTTTCTTAGTACTGAAGATGGCGAAGGGGGAAGGAGGTATAGGATAGAAGAAAAGTACGTGAAAGAACAATTGTTTCTTTAAGACAGGAAGCAACCACACAGACCAAGCACATGTTTCACCCACCACTTTTGCAGATGCAAGAAATTTTAGCCAATGCAGAGAGGCCTTGTTACTCATAATTTGGAATTCTCATTTGGATTTGACCACGTCAGGTAGGGTCAGATAGTGTTGGTCAAATCTGACAGGAGAAAGACTGGAACGAACAAACAAAAACCCCAGCAATATGATATGGTCACTGAGTGCTCTAATGGTAAGGAGAAATTAAGACCAGCTGGTTGTTAATCTTAACTTTGGCTAAGACAAAACCCCAATTCAGCTACTTACCTAGGAATAGGTCTCAGGCTTAAGACTGCTCTCTACCACCTTAGAAGCAGGAAAAAACTCAAATTTGTCTTCCTGGTTGGAAGCTAGCTCAGACTCCAGAAAGGAGTTATCTGCCTTTCATCATCAGAGAAGGAGGAAAACTTGTCTTCCTTCTTGGAAGCAAGTTAAACTCCAAAAAAGGAGTTGTACAGCAAAATAAACTTTAGATCTCTACCAGATCCGGGGAGATCAGGGATTCTCTGGAGTGAGTGCTTCCAGGCCTCAGCAAATTGTCCTATTGGTATGAACCATAAAGATAGCTCAAGCTGGTAGCAGGCACTAATAGGCGATTTGTCAAAGGTCAGGGGCACCTCCATGCAAAGTCGCTTTGTGGTTACCAAAATGCGAACCCCATATATCTGAGACAAGTCCCAGTCAATTTAGAAAGTTTTTTTTTTTTTTTTTGCCAAGGTTAAGAACATGCCTGTGACACAGTGTCAGGAAGTCCTGATGACATGTGTTCCAGGTGGTTAAGGCACAGCTTGGTTTTATACATTTTAGGAAGACATGAGACACCAATCAATATATGTAAGATGAACGTTGGTTTGGTCTGGAAAGGCGGGGCAACTCGAAGTCGGGAGGGGGTTTCCAGGTCATAGGTACATGAGAGACAAAGGGTTGCATTCTTTTGAGATTCTGATTAGCCTTTCCAAAAGAGGCAATCAGATATGCATTTATCTCAGTGAGCAGAGGGGTGACTTAGTAGAATGGGAGGCAGGTTTGCCCTAAGCAGTTCCCAGGTTCACTTTTCCCTTTAGCTTAGTGATTTTGAGGTCCCAAGATTTATTTTCATTTCACATTATCATTTGACCCAGCAATCCCTTTACTGGGTATATGCCAAAAGGCAAATAAATCATTCTACTAAAAATATACACACATGTGTTCATCGTTGTCTTATTCACAATGGCAAAGACATGGAATCAACTCAGGTGCCCATCAATGGAAGATTGCATAAAGAAAATGTGGATCATATACACCATGGAATAGCACACAGTCATAAAAAAGAATGAAGTCATGAAGTCATGTTATTTGTGGCAACATGAATGGAATTGGAGGCCATAAGCCTAAGCCAATTAATGCAGAAACAGGAAACCTAACAAACACTGTATGTTCTAACTTATAAGTGGGAGCTAAACCCTAATCCTACATGGACATAAATATGGGAATAATTAGATCTTGCAGACTACTGCAGTGGAGGGGGTGAAAAATTACCTATCAGGCATTATACTTACTACCTAGGTGACAAGATCCATACCCCAAATGTTGGCATCATGCAATATTCCCATTTAACAAACCTACGTATGTAACCCTGTATCTAAAATACAGGCTGAATTTTTTTAAAAACGGAGTGATGAGGATAAAAAGATACAATTATAAATAAACAGACTGGAGAAGCCTAAGGACATAGTTTTTACCCTGGGAGTTAAATTACAAAAAGAAGCCAACTATTTCAAGAGCAGAGAAAAGTTATTACAGGGCAGCAAATAAAGATTACAAAAGTCCAAGGGCAGGAATTCACTTGAAGTATAAAAGATCAATGTGGCTGCAGTATTGAGGGACATAAGAAGGGTACTGCAAGATGAAAGTTTCTACTGAGATTTTTTTTAAATATTTTGAGTCATTTTATTTTCTAAGACCACTTTCATAATTCTAGAATGCTCCTTTTTTAGTAGTATACTGTTGTACTTGAGGAAATTAATATTTTGTCTTCTTTACCTGAGAATCTAATGAGATCATTAATAAATTGTGTTTCTTATTTCTGTATTTTCTTATGATTATTTAATCTCCATCTTTCTGTTGGAGAATTTTCTCAAATGTCTGTTGTCTCTTTGCTGTCTGCATATTTAAGAACAAGACACTAAATGTACATGTGGAAATGCAGAGCAATACATTGACTGGTGGACTTCAGTGTGGTAGATATCCACATGCCACTACCTATAAGTCATTTATCCAGAGATGGATATTTTAATCTCTCCTCCCAGGATCTAATCAAGATTCTAAGAATTGTGCTGGTGGAGGTAGATCAGAAATATATACTTACCTATATTTTCTTTTGTTTATTAATGTTGATTTTGGGTCTAACATCTTTATTAAGAATGCATGACGATGTACAACACACCACACATAACTTAGTATAGCATAAGTCAGTTTCCATATATATGGTCCACTGGCATCAGCCCAACAGCCTGAGTTTAAATGCTGGCTTCACTGCTCACTAATTGTTTGACCTTTGGCATGTAACTTATTTTCTCTGTATGTCAGAACTTCTCTATAAAATCAGGGGAAAAATAGAATCTAACATACGGGTTTGTTGTGAGTATTGCTATGTTAATATATGTAAAACACTTAGAATAGTTCCTGGTCTATAATAAGCACTATCTAATGATAAGTTATCATTATCAATTACTCTATTAGTACCACAGTGTTGTAATATTACAATTACGGTATGTTAAAAGCATTGAAAGAGGAATTTGACTTTTCTCTGTAGCCCCATGTGATAAAACTAGTACCACTGAAAGGTAGCCTTGGGGGAATGAATTTTGGTCAAAATAAAGAAAAGAAGATCTTCTCTATTACAAGTGCCCAAAGATGGAATAGACCATCTCAATTTTTAATGAGTTCCCTGTCAATGAACATGTTCAAGACAATATCAACCATATTTTTGGTGTAGTTAGAAGAAGGTTCCTAAAAGCAAAAGGCTATATGCATTGGAGGAATACTGATGAGCTTTTAAAAATCTGACATTTTACATTCCCAACACCATAATCTAATCAAATAACATAAATGGGTCATAGAGGTACTATAAGCAGTGTCAACTTGACCATAGATTTTAATGACTACAAATTTAACTAGGAAATATTTAAAAAGTCTTTGTTAAACTATAATGGAATATCATATAGAAAGCAACTAAAATTATATCTGTATAAAATAAATATTGTGGGAAAAAAACTCAAGTATAGAGAAAATATAAAAACTTAGCTAAGTTTTGGGGTTTCTGGGCAAAACTGGTTCATGGCCAAAGGAAATTAATTCAAATTCCTTTTAATCATACATAATCCAATAAAATAAAAAATCAGTGTCATCGTGTTTGGTATTAAATATGATGTTATGTGTTGGTGGTTAATGGTTGTGAAGAACATCAAGATGATTTAAAATTTAGAGAAAAGTCATCTTTCCTGGCTTTATATGAGCTTCTGTGTTTGCTAATGCCCTGAAATTCAGAATTCCTACCCAATATTTCAAGTATTGATTTATATTATTTAAAGATATCTTTATTTCCAATTTTATTTCTTACATTTCATTTTCCTTTCAAATAACCCCTGAGTACTGCTAGCAAAAACACTCACTCTGTTAGTCCTCTGTATTTAAAGATCCTAAGTAGGTGCTGAGGAGATTGGAAACAAATGAACCCTGAGGGCCCATGACAAAACTACTTTATAGGAGTCATGAGCTTTGAGTTGTCTTTCCAGTAGGCAGATCGTGTATTGTTTAATTAAGTACCAGCTCTTTGTACCTGATGACACACCTTTATGAAGTGTTTGGTTTAGGTACCAACTAAAATCATAGAACTATAATAACTTGAGAGGAAACCTGTAACCTAGGCAAGCAAAAAAGTAGAGGATAGAAATTAACCACATCACTTTGGGAGTCAGGACACTGGGATTTAATTTAAATTTTGACTGTGTGATCTTGGGAGCGTGCTTAACCTTTCTGAGCTTTTATCTGTAATATAGGGATAGTAATACTATGTCAAGGTTGATGTAAGGATGAAGAGAGATGATATATATGAAATCAATTGTGTGTGTTCTATCACATAATAGGCTCTTAAACATTGAGTTACGAGGAATACTGGCCAATTCCTTTGAGACCTGGGAGGGGAGGGTACAGGGGAAAAGAAGTCAAGGTGTATAAAAGAAAACACAAACCATATCTCCCTGCCTGACAGAATTATTCTGATGCTTTAAATATAAAAACCTTAACCTCAATTATTCTTCCTACTGTCACTCCAGCTTTCAAGATTTCTGTATTTTTCTTGGGCCTGATTGAGATAACTGAGCCACTCAGTGGCAACTCACACTTGCCTTCTGGGTTTCTCATGACCTGTCTAGCTCATACCAGGCACTGGATTGGGCTTTATCCTCCAGTTAAGTATTTCAGGTTGTCTTTCTCTAAGTGATTCCTCACTTGCCATGTATCTTTTCCCATCCTATGTTCTCTGGCTCTTGACAAACGTGTTCCAGAGCACAGATCATAGGTAAGTGAACTATGAGATAGGAGGGCAAAGCCACCTTAACACATAGTGCAAACATCAATATTTAAATACTCTCTGTTAAATGTGGCTCTATGAAAGCACTTATTTCCCAGTCTTTGAAAATAAAGTTACCACATTCCATCAATATTGAATTAACCTGGATAGGTGTCTTTCATTGTGTTCATTGTATTCAGTACTGTGAAAAGTCATTCACAATCAGCCCAACTACATAAAATCAAGGGAGTGGTAAAGTAAATGATGATACACCCATATGATGGACCATTATGCAGCTATTAAAATGATGTTTACAAAGAGTTTTTAATGACATGGGAAAATGCTAATGATATAATGCCTAGTGAAACTATAGGTTCCAACAGTGTTCCCTATAATATTATTTAAATCATCTAAGAAAAATGAAATGTATATATACATGTATATAAAATATTATGACTTATAATAGCATATATCAAATGCAAAACATTTATTTAAGTATGCATATATATGTATACATATAAAATGTACTAGAAATAAACATAATGTTCACAGTGATTATCTATGGGTGAAGGAATTCTAGATAATATTTTTTGGTTTATATTTTCTCTTTCCCCCTTAATATTCTACAATATGCAAGCAATATTTTTTTAATCAGCAGAAAATAACTGTTCATTATTCCAGACAGTTATCATAACCAACGTTAATTGTGTGTGAGATGCAAAATCAATTCATCATCTAGGTAGTTGATACCTGAATCTTTTACTGCTTTTCATCTTGAGTGCCCGTAGTTTCTGAGACTGGCAAGACCTAATGGATAAGTTTGACCCTGCAAACTTTGGTTGAAAAATATGCTAAATAGTCAAATAATTATATTAATACACAATCTTTGTGCTATAATCCATATTCTCTTCTATGAAATAAGAGTTGTGGTAGACTACATAATGACCCCCATCCAAATATATCCATATCATGATCCCTGGAACTTGTATCTGTCATCTTATATGAAAAAAAGATTTTATACATGTGACTGAATATCTTGAGATGGGATCCTAAATGCAATCACAGGTTTCCTTGTGAGTGAGAGGTGGAGGGAAACTAGACACAGACAGAAAACGATAATATAATATGACCATAGAGGCAGAGATCAGAGTGATTCAGCTACACGCCAAGTAATGCTTGCAGCCACCAGACACTGAAAGAGGCAAAAAAAAAGAGCTTCTCCATTAGAACCTCTGGAGGGAGCAGGGCCTGGCCAACATCTTGACTTTGTCTCAGTGAAATGGGCTTCTGGCCTCCAGAATGATGTTATAATAAAATTCTGTCCTCTTCAGCCACCAGGTTTGTGGTAATTTGTTACAGCATCTAGGGGAATTTAATACTGTTTATAATAAAATGCATGAAACATGGTCTCTGGCAATGATGGGTTCCTAGACTAGAAAAGCGTAAGGCATAAAGAAAGAAAATTATGGGCGGGTGCAGCGGCTCACGCCTGTAATCCCAGCACTTTGGGAGGCCGCAGCGGACGGATCACGAGGTGAGGAAATCGAGACCATCCTGGCTAACATGGTGAAACCCCATCTCTACTAAAAATAATAATAAAAAAAAATTAGCTGGGCGTGGTGGCGGGCGCCTGTAGTCCCAGCTACTCGGGAGGCAGAGGCAGGAGAATGGCGTGAACCCGGGAGGCGGAGCTTGCAGTGAGCCGAGATCACGCCACGCCACTGCACTCCAGCCTGGGCGACACAGCGAGACTCCATCTCAAGACGAAAAAAAAAAAAAATTATACAACATTGTTATAAGGGACTACCACAGTGAGGGCTGGTGAATTCTACCCAGAGGAGGTGACACTGGAGGATTATTTCTTCCAGTAACAAGACTTGCTGCCTAATTTCATGGAAAGGGGTTTCAGACCCATTTGGGTAGCACAGTGCTTGATTTGTGGCAGTAATGAGTAGAGCACAGTGGAGAGGCTACTCGACTGGGAGTCGAGAGATGTGTGTTTTGATACACTGCACTTGGTACCTGACACTAACTAGCTGTGTAACTTTCGGCAAGGCACTTCATTTATCTGCACCTAAATTTCTCTCTATATAAAATTTAATGTTTGGACTAAATTTCTAAGGGTTTTCTGCCATTCTGGATTTTCTTAAGTGAATGTTTTGATGACACTTGGGGAGTGAAATGGTAAACCAATATATGTAGTCTGGTAAGTTGCAAGTATTTATAAGACTGGGATAAATGTTCATAAAATTGTAAGTAAAATACAAAATGTTTTGTTATAAGAATGGATTTGTGTAAATGTAATTCCATGCAAATATTTGCACACCTATGAAATACTCAGTACTCAGTAGGCATACAGACATTTATTGCATAATATTGTGTTTGCCAAATTTTCTGCTGTTAAATTGTTTATGTTAAACTAACATAGACTCCTGACCATATTTAGTGAGTGATTACAGACACCAAATTGGGAGCCAAGGTTTGGAAAGACAAATGAGGACAAAAATGTTTAGCAATAGGTGAAAAATGCGTGTCACAGCGATGGAGTGTAAGTACAGAGGTTGGAATGGTTTAATCAACCCAATTGCCTAAAATACACACACACACACACACACACACACACACACACTATAAACAAATAATACTACTCTTATTGCTGAAACCTTAATAAGAAGGTTAAGACTGTCCTCTAAGGTATAAGGTGACATGAAGCAAGCTTTGCTCATGAGAGAACTACAGATTATTGGCAGGATTGACTCATTGGCTCGGAGGTGAAGGCAACAGATAAAAATTCAGCGGTTGTTACTCAATTTATCTTTCCTACTAATCTAAGGCAGAACCAAGCTCGTAGTCTGCTTAATTCATGGCATTATGAACAGTCTCTCCCAGACTACAGATAACTGCTAAAATTTAAGTGTTAAATACCAGAGTTCACTTCACACAAATGCTGCTCTTTTGTATGAATTGAACTCTGGTATTTATCAATACATGAAATCTGAAATCTGAACTGAACTCTGGTTCATATCAATACATGAAATCTGATGGCAAGATTTTACAGAGGAAGTGCTCCAAGATGAATCCAAGTTAGCCAGGTGCAGGAAGATTGGGGTGTTGTACGGTGGAACCCATCAGGCCAAGACAACAATTAGAGCAGTGGGCCAGGTGAGAAACAGCTTATTGTGAGAGAGAACATCTGCTTTGGTGTTGCTGTTACATAAACCATGAGACAGAAAGTGGTGAAAACTGAAACGAGGGAATCCATCAAGGGCCAGATCACAGAGCTTTTTGTATCTCTAGCCAAGAAGCTTGATAGTGACCCTCTCAGGCCAACGGAGAATATTTGAAAGTTGTTCTCACATTTGAGACAGGTGGAAAGATAGCTGGAGGGTTACACACAGAGAAAGAAACCATTTTGGCTTCCATATGTCAACAATGTTAGGCATTTTACAAAGTTTACTGAAGAATCAGTATAGTCAATAAAGGAAATTAATGCAAACAGTAAACAACTGAATGAACTAAATATTAGAACAATGGCTACAACTCAAAGCAGTGAGTTGAGGGTAGCTTCAAGAGCCAGAATTCCTTGTGGCACAATATTTGTGCCAGTAGTTCTTGCAATTCTGAGTTGCCTGAATACAGATTCTATTTGTCTTAAAGAATCATGTTCTGAATTAAGGTAAAATTTCCCAATAGAACTTTTTAATATCTCTCTTCTTTTATCCTTGCTTTCAGTCTTTCTTCCCTCAATTCAGTTTACACACTGTAACCTGATTTATCTTACAAAGCACAGTTGTGCTCATGCCCTTGTTAAAAACCACCATTGATTCATGTCCCCATTTAGCCACTGCCTAAAAATACAAATCCAGATTTTCTGCCATTAGCTCTCTGGTTCCAACTCAAAGTTCTCACATTTTCTCTTATTATTTTCTTTTAATACACCATTTAGTTAATCTATTCTAAATAACTCTTTCCTTCTCTTGACATCCTGCATGCTTCTTACCATGGTGGTCCATAGTGTCCTTGCCATCTCTGCACCTTCGCCTTCTATCATCACTTAGGACCCAACTCAGATGTTTGCTCTTCCATTATCCTTTTCCTGATCCTCACTCTGGGAGCCTTTGTTCCTCCTTCTTCCCTCTTTATGGTATTCTCTCTATACCTGCCATATAATTCTTTGCATATTTTACCTCATGTTGCTTATTATGGTCTCTCAGCCAAACATATCGAGATTGAGAATGATACCTTATTCATCACCGTAAGCTCTGTTTTTTATTTGTTGTCCTGCATGAAATGCTTTTCCCACTCTTTCATCCTTAGACATCTTCTACACCATTGAAAACTTAGTTCATTTATTGTGTCTCCAATGTTTTTCCTGACTTCCTTTTTCCCATCATGGGAAAATTCATTACTCACCTTTGGTGGCCCTACAGACTTTCGTTCATTTCATATGACTGCTAAAATTTAAGTGTTAAATACCAGAGTTCAGTTCATGTCAATGTTACTCTTTTTTTTTCTTCCCCTCAAGTAAAATTCTAATAATAAAAAACAATGGTAGGAAGTCTGAAAGCATGGACTCTTTTGAGATATGCAAGGATATCACAGTTGATATCTTTTGTTAAAGTATAATCAAATCATGAATGATGCCAATATCCAGGGTCATTAAACCTTGTCCATTTGGTGGTTATTTCACATCTCTTTCTTTTGTTTAGGCATGTAGAAGCTTCCATATCCAGGATTAAGCATTGGTAGAGTTGATCACCCTTTTTCTCTTATCGGTGCTCCTCAGCCTCATAATTATTCTTGGAAACATAAAGGTTTCACATATATATGGAGTATTTCAAATTAATTTTCACATAATTGTTCAAAATACTGTTGGGAAAATTTAGTAGTTCTTTCAGAGTAAGTTATTTCTCAGAATCTCTACAAGTAGTATTTGAAAAAAAAATGACCCTAGAAATTTGAAATTAGCTCTGAACGAGTATATACATATATGTACACGTATATATATGTATATATGTATATGTATATACGTATATACATATACATATACACACTTATGTACATATATACATATGCACACATATGTACATATATACATATACACATATGTACATATATAATATACACACATGTACATGTACATATATACATATATGCACATACATGTACATATATACATATATGCACATACATGTACATATATACATATATGCACATACATGTACATATATACATGTGCACATATGTACATGCACATGCACACGTACATATATGCACATGCACACGTACATGTACACACATATGTACACGTACATGCATACACGTGTACACGTACATGTATACATGTGTACACGTACATGTATACATATGTGTACATATATGTACATGTGTACATGCACATATATGTACGTGTACATGTGTATGTGTACACGTACATATATGTATATATGTATACACACATGTGTACACGTACATATATGTATATATGTATACACACATGTACACGTACATATATGTCTATGTATACATACACATATGTACATATATGTATATGAACGCATGTACGTACATGTACACATATGCACACATATGCATATGTACACATACGCACACATGTATATGTACACATACGTACACATATGCACACATGTATACGAACACATATGTACGCATATGTATATGTACACATATATACACATATGTATATGTACACATATGTACACATTTGTACATATATACATATATGTACATGCGTGTACATATATACATATGCACATATGTACATACACATGCACACGTGCATATATACACATATGTCCACGTACATGTATGCACGTGTACGCATACATGTATACATGTGTACATATATGTACATGTGTACATGCACGTATATGCACATATATGTATATATACACATATGTACACGTGCATATGTGTATATACGTATATGCACACATATGTACGTCTATGCATATGCACACACATGTACGTCTATGCATATGCACACATATGTACGCATATGTACACATATGCACACATATGTACATGTACACATATGTACACATATGTACACATTTGCACACACATGTACACATCTGTACACACATGTACACATATGCACATATATGTGCATATATGCACATGTATGTGCATGTATGGACACATGTATATGTGCATATATGGACACATATGTATATGTATATATGTGCTATGAGAACTCGTTCAGAGCTAATTTCAAATTTCTAGGGTCATATATGTGTATATACGTATATATATGTATATACTCATCAAGAGGCATTTTAATGAGTATATTCTGCAGGTACCATATTTACATAGGATAATGTTAGAATACAATAAAGGGCTTCAACACTTGCCTCAAACTTCAGTAGCATGAGAGACTCAGTTTTCTGGCATGGAAGGAATCTTATAACTATCACGCTTGATTTTAGGGTTAGAACCTGGGTAAGGAAAGTTAAGTACTCACCTGGGGTGCAATATTTAAGATGGCGTAGGGTTAAGCCATGTCTGTATTTACAAGTTTTATGTTTTGGTCAGCATGTTTGGAATTTATTTTTTTTAATGTATTAAAATAGTTTTTATCTTGATAATTGATTGTTGTGGTACCACCCATCCACCTTAATTTTGCATTTGAGTGAGTGGATCATGCCCCTCCCTCCACCCCTGGCCTTTCTTGTCTTATAGCATACGCATACTAAGGCTTACACTCCTTTTAGCCTGTCTTGGCCCTGAACCTTTGAAACTAATCTAACTCACCCACTGGGCCTGATGGCATTTCCAAATGATTATTAAGATTTATGTATTCAACATATATGTTCATTGATGAATAACTCTTGATAAACTGTGTGTTGTCATGGGCCTCTGGGTGCCATATTAACTTTACTGAAATACTCAAACAGTCCATATTAGCAGATTGCTTTGTTTGTGAAATCTAGAGAGTGATTTGGAATTTAGTGAGAGCTAGGGGACTAGCATATTTGGGAGATGTTTTATAATTCTTATGGACAAAGAAGACTGGCTAAAGGGAAATAAAATAATTACTACTTTTGGTATAATAGCCTATAAGATATTTGTTTTGCTTAAGACATTATTTATAGGCAACTTATCCATCCACACTTTTTGTTTTCTTGATTCACATGTATCCAATGGTATTAGGCAAGGAATATTTTTAATTTCTAAAGACTGTGGCACATGATGTTGGTCCTTTTCAGTGGCCACTGCTCTACAGCATTGTAGCAAGCTGCTTAGGAATGAAAATTAATATTAAGCACATAGATCCAAGGATATCTGTCCAAAGTTTCAGGTTGATTTCCACAGTGCTTTTAAAAATCAAATAACAGTTTACACCGTACAAAATCTCACATAGCTCTTCACTCCAGCATAGTAATCATTAGTGTCCTATGATTTTTCGTACAGATCCTATAACCTAACTCTAATAGTGCTGGGAAATGTCATGGCAGCTAATGTTTACATTTCAAGGACCCTTTTTATTTGAATCAGTTAAAGTGCAGTTTGCTTTTTCGAAACTTTAAGCATAACTGGAAATGTATATTTTGATATACAGCATAAATGTCAGCAAAAGATGGAGAACCAGAGAGATTGTGTGGGCTTTTAGAAATTATACTATGCAATGCTTTCATTTTACAGATAGAGAAACAGATACTACAAAGGTAACACCGATATTATAACCCATTCTTCCTCTCCTTAGATACACTTATGTGTAACATGTGGGTTTATTTAATGAAAAAAGCATATGAATGTAAATGTACAGTTGTTTTTACTCATCCAGTGGCTTTTGGGGAGCCCATTTTATGTGTCTTCTTCTCTGCTAAAAACAATAAATGCCCTCAAGTGATATTCAGCTACATAATATATACAATA
This sequence comes from Homo sapiens, assembly GCF_000001405.40. Classification (NCBI taxonomy): domain Eukaryota; kingdom Metazoa; phylum Chordata; class Mammalia; order Primates; family Hominidae; genus Homo; species Homo sapiens. Next base: position 144,666,667 of record NC_000023.11, on the reverse strand, counting down.
GCTTATATTGGACAAGATTTGCCTGAGGTTTTTTCTTTTATTCTGTGCTTTAAAGTCACTTTTAAAGTCTTTATTACTAGACATTTTTCTATTCCTTCTTTAATGTATAAATATATCTTCTAACGGTTGGGGTTATTTTTGTTTTAGAATAAAATGTGGAGATTGGAAAGGTAAAACAGAGTAAGATGAAGTAGATCAGAAGTTTTGAATTAGACTTCGGGGAACTTATAAAGACATTTCTGTAAGCAAACCCCAGTTTTTTGAATTTTATTCTCATTATTTTTCTATCTGGTTTACTAAGGAGCACTAGTATATTGGTAAAGGGGCTGGAATCAGATCAGATATCATTCCAGAATCTGATGTCTTCTAGAGTGAATACGTCCTAGTGAAGACTTTATTGTATAAAAACTCAATGCCTTTGGAAGAGGTCTTGTAGAATATCTCTGGTGTTTATGGAGAATTTTCAATTGGTTAGGATGAATGAAAAATAATCTATTTAACAATATTTACACAGGATTTGAAGTCCTGGTTGTATACAATTCTCAAGGAGTTACATTCTTTTGGAATAAGAAATACTCCTCAATACATATATTCAACCCCTGACTTTTGGTTTATGGATGCAATATTGGATACTATAATAACAAGGAGCTATGACCAAATGCTTCACACATCAAACATCATGTGACTTCATGGTCAGAAAGTACATAAGCAGAAGTGAACCAATAAAAATATGTTTTCTACTATCATCCATATAAGCTATAGAAAATGCCCCAAATAGAGTGCAATGCATTTAATACTCAAATAAGTTTTCTAATTTGGTGATCAATATTCTCCAAGACAGTCATCCAAAGTTGTTAAGTAGATATGGTCTAAAATTGACCACATAATCAGACATAGAATACTCTTCAGTAAATGTAGAATAACTGAAATCATAACTACCACTCTCTAGGACCATAGTGAAAGCAATTAGAAATCAACACTAAGAAATTCGCTCAAAACTATAAAATTACAGGGAAATTAAATAACCTGCTCCTAAATGACTTTTGAATAAATAGTTAAATTAAGGCAGGAATCAAGAAGTTCTTTGAAATTAAGGAGAACAAAGATACAACATACCAGAATCTCTGGGACATAGCTAAGGCAGTGTTAAGAGGAAAGTTTATAGCACTAAATGCCCATATCAAAAAGTTAGAAATATCTCTCTTTAACAACCTAACATCACAGCTGCAAGAACTAGAGAACCAAGAGCAAACCAACTCCAGAGTTAGCAGAAGACAAGAAATAATCAAAATCAGAGCCGAATGGAAGGAGATAGAGACACGAAAAATGATTCAAAAGATCAACAAATCCAGGACTTAGTTTTTTGAAAAACATAATAAAATAGAATGCTACCTAAACTAATAAAGAAGGAAAGAAAGAAGATCTAAATAAACAGTATCAGAAATGACAAGGGGGAAATTACCACTAACCTTGTTAAAATACACACAATTATCAGATAATATTATGAGCACCTCTATGCACACAGTTTAGAAAATCTAGAAGAAATAGATAATTTTTTGATACATACACCCTCCCAAAACTGAACAAGGAGGAAATTGAATCTCTGAACAGACAAATAACAAGCTCCAAAATTGAATCAGTAATAAATAAGCTACAAAACAAAAAAAGCCAAGACCTGGCAGATTCACAGAAAAATTCTACCAGATGTACAAAGAAGAGCTGATATCATTCCTACTGAAACTATTGCAAAAAATTGAGGTGGAGGGATTCTTTCCAAACATTCAATGAGGCCAACATCTTTCTGATACCAAAACCTGGCAGAGACACACTGAAACAAGTAAATTTTAGGCTAATATCCTTGATAAATATTAATGCAAAAATCGTTAACAAAATACTGACAAAGTGAATCTATTAGCACATCAAAAAGCTTATCCATCAGGATCACAAATATCATTTATTGATACACAAATCAGTGTATCATTTATTGATACACAAATCAGTAAATGTGACTCGTCACATAAACATAATTAAAGACATAAAAACACATGATTATCTCAATAGATGCAGAAAAAACTCTCAATAAAATTCAACATCCCTTCATGTTTAAAACTCTAAACAAAGTAGGCATTGAAGAAACTAACCTCAAAATAATAAGAGCCATCAATGACAAACCCAGAGCCAACATCATACTAAATGGGTAAAAGCTAGACGCATTCCCTTTGAAAGCTGGTGCAAGACCAGAATGCCCTCTCTCAATACTCCTATTCAATATAGTATTGGAAGCCCTGGCCACAGCAATCGGGCAAGAGAAATAAATAAAGGGCGTCGCAATAGGAAGAGAGGAAGTGAAACTATCCCTGTCTGCAGATGACATAATTCTTTATCTAGAAAACTTCATAGTTTTGGCCCTAAAGCTCCTTAAGCTGATAAACAATTTCAGTGAAGCCTCAGCATACAAAGTCAGTTTACAAAAATGACGAGCAGTTGTATACACCAACCCAGTGACAGCCAAGCTGAGAGCCAAATGAAGAATGCAATCCCAGTCACAATTGCCACAACAAGAATAAAACACCTAGAAATACAACAAACTAAGTGGGTGAATGATCTCTATTAGGAGAACTACAAGACACTGCTCAGAGAAATCAGAAATGACAGAAACAAATGGAAAAATCATTCCATGCTCATGGATAGGAAGAATCAATATTGTTAAAACAGACATACTGCCCCAAACAGTTTATACATTCAATGCTATTCCTATCAAACTACCAATGACATTTTTCATAGAACTAGGAAACACTTTTTTAAAATTCACATGGAACAAAAAAAAAAAAAAAGCCCAAATAGCCAAGGCAATCCTAAGCAAAAAGAACAAAGCTGGAGGCATCAAGCTACCCAACTTCAAACTATAGTACAGGGCTATAGTAACTAAGACAGCACGGTACTGGTACAAAAACAAACACATAGACCAAAGGAATAGAACAAAGAGCCCAGAAATAAGACCACACACCCACAGCCATCTGACCTTTGACAAAGCTGACAAAAACAAGCAATGGGGAATATTCAATAAATAATGTTGGAATACTGGCTAATCATAGGCAGAAGATTGAATCTGAACCCTTTCTCTATACCATGTACAAAAATCAACTCAAGATGGATCAAAGACTTAAATGTAAAACCCAAAACTATAGAAACCCTGGAAGACAACCTAGGAAATACAATCCTAGACATAGAAACAGTCAAAGACTTCATGACAAAGATGCTAAAAGCAATTTCGACAAAAGCAAAAATTGACAAATTATATCTAATTAAACTAAAGAGCTTCTGCATAGCAAAACAAACTATCCACAGAATGAACAGGCAACCTACAGAATGGGAGAAAATCTTCATAACTGTACATCTGACAAAGATTGAATATCCAGGATCTATAAGGAACTTAAATATACGAGAACAAAAACAATACCATTAAAAAGTGAGCAAAGGACATGAACACTTTTCAAAAGAAAACACACAAGCAACCAACCAGCATAAAAAGATAGCTCAATAGCACTGATCATTAGAGAGATGTATATCAAAATCACAATGAGATACTATCTCACACCAGTCAGAGTAACAGCCAAAAAATAGGTGCTGGAGAGGTGGTGGTGAAAAACAATCCTTATACACTGTTGGTGGAAGTGAAAATTAGTTCAACCATTGTGGAAATCAGTGTGGTGATTCTGCAAAGACATAAAAACGGAAGTACCATTCAACCCAGCCCTCTCATTACTGATTTTATATCTAGAGGAATATAAAATCATTTCATCATAAAGACATATGCATGTGAATGTTCATTGCAGCACTCTCCACAATAGAAAAGACATGGAATCAACCTAAATGCTCATCAATCGTAGACTCAGTAAAGAAAATGTGGCACATATACCATGGAATGCTATGCAGTCATAAAAAAGAACAAAATCATGTGGGTTTTTTTTGCAGGAACATAAATGGAGCTGGAGGCCATTATCCTTAGCACACTACACAGGAACAGAAAACTAAATAACCCATCTTCTTACTTATAAGTAGGAGCTAAGTCATGAGAACACATGAATACAAAGAGAAAAGCAACTGGGGCCTACTTGCCTGTGAAGGGTGTAAGGAGGGAGAGGATCAGAAAAAGTAACTAATGGGTACTAGGCTTAATACTGGGTGACAAAATAATCTGTACAACAAAGTCCCATGACATGAGTTTACCTATATAACAAACCTGTACATGGAACCTGGAACTTAAAATACAAGTTAAAAAAATTTGTGCAGTAGAGATTAGATATACAGAGATAGTTAAGATAATCTCTTTAATTCTATAGGAAAGAATTAAGGAATTAAGAATTCCATAGGAAAGAAGGACTTGAGTCATGGGGAAAAATGAAAGTATATGAGGCTACTAGGTTTCTAGCATTTAGCCTTATGTGTGGCATTTTCTTTCCATCCTTCTCTCTTTTGCCTATTACAGTTATTACTAATTACAAATTATATTATTTCTTGCTGAACCTACCTGCCAACTCAGAATATTTCTCAACATAATAATCTGGGGAACTGTTCCCAGTGGCTTTCACTTAGTATAAGAAATGAAAACTTGTTCATGCCTCCTCCAGACTAATGAGCAAATATCTTTTATTTGAAACTTGATTTTTATTCAGGACATATTCTTCAAACACCTGTTATATTTTCAATTGAAACCATAGTAAATGAGAGAAGTAATTATTAGTGACTTGTATAAGTATAGCCTAAAGTTATAAAAAATCATTGATATTATCACATAAAATTATTCTTCATGCACACTTTAAAATGTTCTCCTTCACAGAAACCATGAGAGAAAGATGTAAACAATGGCAGTAAAATGCTTTTGTGTAGTTCCCCTTGTGAAGATTCTTAAAATGTGGATTAGGGCACAAAAGATCCATGCAGCAATCTTTCTCTTCCAGGCACTGAATATGTAGAAGCATGTGACTCTCTTTCTATTTTTTTTCTTTCTAACATCCTTTCATGTGTTAGTTTGTTAGTGAGGCCTACTGAAACATACTGCTAATAACTTTGCACTCAGTTTGCTTGGAAATTAGCTACCAGGAGAGTGAAAATGCACTTATAAAATCTAGGAAACCTTAGAAGATGAGGCACTAGCAAAGGCTATTGGCTCACTCCCACAAAATGCACTTTGGTGAAACCATGGAAGGGAAGAGAAGCATGTGTTTGAACCATGGATGACAAACTATTTCTTTTCCTCTCATATCCACTACAAAACTTTGAAATATGATATATCCTCTTATGTGTTTTGATAGCTTAAATTTATCATTATGAGTTTACACATTGGCGAATTGTAATTCATAGTATATTCTCAATTTTAACAATAAAACTGTTATGCTTTCAAAGTGAATCTGATGCAATAGAAATACCACTTATACAGGAGCTTAATACATAATGAAGTGAGAATCATGAATCACAGGTAAAGGAGGATTGTTTAGAAAACTACAGTGGGAAAATTAGCTCCTTATATGAAGAATAAGCTGGTTTCCTATTCATCACCATATATAAACTAGAATTCCACATGAATTTATTCCCTGAATATGAAATGAATGTAACACTATAAAGTTAGTAGAAGAATATATGGAAAATTATTTTTATTATCTGGGTTTGGAGAACAAGTTCCTAAACAAAACTCCAAAAGCACCAAATGCAAGTAAAACACATGATGAATTTATTTGTACAAAAATTAAGATTTCCCCTTAATGTAATATACCATGGACAATATTAATAGAAGAGTGACAGAATGAGAGAGGATACTTGCAATGTCTAAAACAAAGATCAATATATAGATTATTCAAGGAACTCTTTCAAGTCAACAAGACAAAAGCCAATAACCTCGATTGAGAAATTTGCAAATAATACAAAATGCCATTTTGAAGTGGAAACCCAAAAGGCTAAAGAGTTGGTGAAGATATAATCTAATCGGTAATCGAAGAAATACAGATTTAAAAAATGAGATATGTTTTATCTGATAGACTAACAAAATTTCTAGAGCTTGATTTTGTCAAGTATCTGTGAGGTTGTGGGGAAAAGGGAACCCTCAGTGCTCTGCTGATGAGTATGTAGGCAGGTGTAGACTTTCTTAGAAAGCAAATGGGTAGCAATTAGTCAAAATACAATAGAGATACTCTTATCCTTGGATGGTAGTTTAGCTGAATATCCCAAGAAGAATTACACACAGATCCATACAGGGACATATACAAATATTTTTATTGCTGTTTTATTTTATTATTTGCTGTAGGAAAGAATTGGATGCAATCCCATTGTCTGTTACTAAGAGAGATTAGGTAAAATACGGTGAGTGTGGCAGTTATATATAATGAACTAATTTCACATATAGGAAAATATTGAATAAGAAAAGTGAGAAACAGAATGGGCTCTCTAACCCAGCATCATTAACATGAATTAAAAATATGCATATACAAAAAATAAACAGTGTATAAGAACACATATGAAAAATTAGATGCATGATGTATTAGTCCGTTTTCATGCTACTGATAAAGACATACCCAAGACTGGGTAATTTATCGAGAAAAAGAGGTTTAATGGGTTCATAGTTCCACGTGGCTTGGGGAGTCCTCACAATCATGGCAGAAGGTGAAAGGTACGTCTTACATGGTGGCAGGTAAGAGAATGAGAGCCAGGTGAAAGAGGAAACCCTTTATAAAACCATCAGATCTTATGAGACTTACTTACTACCACAAGAACAGTATGGAAACTGCCCCCATGATTCATTTATCTCCCACCAGGTCCCTCACACAACACATGGGAATTATGGGAGCTATAATTCAAGATGGAGATTTGGGTGGAGACACAGCCAAACCATATCACGTGTTAAGCTCATTATGATGATTACTTTTGGTGAGAGAAAAATAGGAGTGCAAATTGGGGATAAAAGAGAGAAATTTAAAAAATGAGCAAAGGTCGTGAATCAACATTTTTCCAAAGAAAACAGAAAAATGACCAACAGGTATATGAAAATGTGTTCAATATCAGTAATTATTGGGGAAATGAAATTCAGAACCACAATGAGATCACCTCACACATGATTAGGGTGGCTATTATCAAAAAGACAAGAGATAAATATTGGCAAGGGTGTGGAGAAAATATTACTCTGTACACTGTCGGTGGGAATATAGTTTGGTGCAGCCGTTATAGAAGAGAGTATAGAGATTCCTCAAAAAATATAAATATAATTTTCATATGATCCTTTGCTGTGTATATACCCTCAAAAATGAAATCAGCACTTCATAGAGATATCTAGCCTCAAATCTTCCCTGCAGCATTATTCACAGTAGCCAAAATATGAAAACAACAAAAGTGCCCATCAGTGGATGAATGGATGAAGATATTATGAAACACACACACACACACACACACACACACACACACACACACACACACACACACAGAGAGTATTCAGTCTTAAAAAATCCTTCTATTTGTTACAACATAAGTGAACTTGGAGGATATTATGCTAAGTGAAATAAATAAGACAGAGAAAAACAAATGCCACATGACCTCACTAATATATGTGAAATCTAAAAAAAAAAAATGAAAGTATAAAACAGAGTATAATGGTGGTTACCAGAGAGACTGGGGGTTAGGGGAGGTTTGGGGAGATGTTGGGAAAAGGACACAAAAATTTCGTTGGGCAAGAGTAATTCATTAAAAAAGATGTATTAAAGAATAGGTGACTGAGAAGGGGTATAAAGGGAATTCTGAGGTGCTAGTAGGCAATAATATATCTTTTTAACCTAAATATTTATTTTGCAGGAGTCAAGTTGTGATGATTCATTGAGCTATAGATTTATGTTTTACCCACTTTTCTACTTGTGTATATTTTACAAGAAAAAACTTTAAAGATGAAAATATATGGACTTTGGACTCCAAATCCACACTTGCAGCTATTTGCATATTTCCATAATGATGCTCAAGAAAATGTAAAAAATACATTTTATTTATAAATATTCATTGAATTATTAAAGTAAAAACTGAGGTTTGGTAGACCATTGATACTCTATCAACTATTAGAGTTGGGTTTTTTTGCATTTTTTTTTTCTCTTCTGTGATACCTTTACTCCCAGGCTGACCCCACGACAATGTGCATTTGATCCATTCTCTTCTGCCTTGTTTGGGCCTTTGCTCCATTAAGTACTGTACGCTTTTTTATCTTTTGGGTCTTCAGTTTCTTTCCACTAGCTGCTGCTTGTGTCAACAAACATGGTCAAACATTTCCTCTTCTAAGCAGGAAAGACTTCTTGCCCTCTATGCACATTCATCTATGTCCTTTCTTCAAATAGTCTAAGCTTCTTGAAATAAATAGCTCAAGCTTCTCAGAATAATCTAGTCCTTTTTTTGTCTGCTTTCCCCCCTTTTTTTCTATTCAAATATTTGTAAAAATCATTTTCCTCCCCAACCGTCTATTAAAATTACCATGTGTGAAGTTGACCTGCTAAACCTGAGTGGTTAGCTGCCTGAAGCATAATCTGTCTCATCAGGTGATATGATCATTACTGCTCCTAGGACTTTTCCATGTAGATAACATAACAAGTATGTAGATATAATCTAAAGAGCACATTATTCGAGTGCCTCTTTGGTGCCTTAACTCAGCAGACAGTTTCTCAAATGAAATGAAATAAGCCCGCCTAACAAGACGGAATCAACAAAAGACTGAGTCTCGTAGAGGAATGATTATTGTTACCTAATGTTATCAAGCTGTACACATGACTTTGAACAAGTAGCTCTTTCATTCTGAATTTTGATTTCCTTCATAGCAAAACCTGATCTACTTCGCAGGGTGTTGTGAGGATTAAATGATAGAATGTGTGAAAACATTTTGCAACCTCTAAAGTATGATATAAACTTGTTATTGGATTCCCAGCCTGTGTAGACTAAAGCATTGTCCATAATTGAATTAATTATCTAAACATGTATGAAATACTGTACAATGGCCTAGTAGAAGACTGTTTTCATGGGTAGCTGAGGGACCTTCCGAGTGAAAACACATGGAAGTAGAAGAGGAAACAGTTATAACAAGCTTGATCTACTTAGCCTTAGTTGTTGCAAGAGAGGGATAGTTTTAAGGAGAATTTGGTAGCTGTTAATCAGTATTTTTTGGGGTCCAATCCCCTTTGGCTTGATGTCAGAGTCCTAAATAAAGAGAGGCCTATAGATATAAATGCAAAAGTTGGTTCCAATAATCAGATCTGTGTCCTCTGTAACACAATGTAATATAAAGGGAAGTTGAATATTCTCTTCCATTTTCCCCAGACAATTTTGATCATTTAAGGGCTTCTGGTCACCAGTGGGAGAGACCAGCAGGAGACGGTGGGACCATTTTTGGGAGTCTAGTGCCTGCCACAAGACTGAGAGCCCTGGTGTAAAAAAAAAAAAAAAAAAAAAAAAGAAAGTGTAGGGAGTGTCAGTGGCAGCAATGCTCAGTGAGCATGGCAATAGTAAGAGCAAGTGATGGTGCTGTACATAGCTGCCCGGTCTTGTTCATGAGAAAATGAGAGACATTCTCTGGGAATTCCCAGAAATGCTTGACTTTGAACCAGAGCCTGAGGTTCTCCTGGAGCAAGTGGGTAGGGATGAGAAGATAAGAAATTTGGGCTGGTTTTGTGAATGCAATTCAGCTGGTCCCAACAATCTGTTGAGACATGATAATCTGTGTGAATGACATCCCTTCGACTCATGCAGCCCCAGAGGTAGCCCATTCTCATTCGATAATTTGAATTTTTTCCGTCTCCTTTGTTGTCACTTGGACCCTACTTTCTTTTTGGCATGCACTATAATCATGAATATTTTATGTAGAATCTAGGCATCTCCTCCAAAGAGGAATATCTTAGACAAAGCATATTTAAAATTATGTAATAAACATTCGGACTGACATTGTAAAAGTTACAGCTTGAATGAAATCCAAACTTCCCAAGTTTTAATATGTCAAGAAATGACAATTAGGCTACATGGTCCTTTATTCTTCAGGGCTTTATCATGAGGACAAATAGAGAAAACTATTCGTGGTGAATTTAGAGGCTATGTGTTGTCCTCCCCCTCCGCCCAAGTAAATCAAGAGAACACTTTATTTTATTTATTTATTTTTTTTGAGATGGAGTTTTGCTCTTGTTGCCCAGGCTGGAGTGCAATGGCGCGATCTCAGCTCACTGCAACCTCCGCCTCCCAGGTTCAAGCGATTCTCCTGTCTCAGCCTCCCGAGTAGCTGGGATTACAGGCACATGCCACCATACTCGGCTAATTTTTGTATTTTTAGAAGGGATGGGGTTTCTGCATTTGGTCAGGCTGGTCTCGAACTCCTGACCTCAGGTGATCCACCTGCCTCGGCCTCCCAAAGTGCTGGGATTACAGGCATAAGCCACTATGCCCAGCCAAGTGAACACTTCTTTTTAACTATCTTGATTCCTTCATATTAAAGACACCATCAACTAGCATTGGAAAAATATCACTGAATGCAATTCCCTAGCTATGAGCACTGTGTAGTCTTCCTTCTAATTTATACTATAACCAAATAATTAAAATGACAACACCCTTGGAATTGTAAATTAATGAAATTCAAATGAATCTAGAATACATTTCAAGAATCAAGTCACTCTTACTCAGAAGTTAAACAACCTACATGTAGTGGAACAGAAATAGATCTTCTCACTGACTATCATAGCAATACTGTGACATCAAAAGACAGGCTACTTTTTGCTAAGTAAAATTAAATATAAATAAATAAAAATAGACACTTGTTGCACAGTGTTTTTGGAGTTATTCAGTTTATGTATCAATTATAACACAGCATAGAAATGTGTTCCAGTTAAAAGAAACATCTTTTGTTGTGGCATCCTCTAAGAAAGTATGTATCTACTTAGACTTGCGTGTCACTAAACTTGAAAAAAAATTGTTAATTTATTTGTAAATTTAGACCATTAAATAAATATTTCAAAATATTTGTGAGGAAAAAACTTTAAAACAAGGACATTTGAATTACACATTGGAATGGTTCTGAAAAACATATAACCCCTTTGAGTAGCTAATTATACTAGAATTACTAAAGAAAATATAAGCACTGTCTCTTCATCTATGATAAATAGTCACTTACTGAGTATGGGCAGCATTTCTTTGTCAGGGCTTTCTAGAATTATATTTTTAGAATATATGAGTGCCATAGTTAGCTAATTTTAATGAATAAAACATGAACCAAGTGGAAATTTTACACACAAAAGAGAACATTTTTTTTTCATTTTTGCATATCTTCTTGAAGAGTAGCATCATTCTTAATTTAATATTTTAGAACCTACTCAGGATATGTGATGGTAATATTAAAACAGGAGATAATGTATTGCCAATTATCTTTACTAGTTGGTAACTTCACTGAGTTTCTAAGTACTCAACACAGTCTACTGAATTCTCTAATATGTTGTAGTAAAGTTAGAATTGAGCATTTGGGGGATGCTTTGCTCAGTTTTCCATATGTATTCAATTTCGGCTACTTCCTTTTGCCTTAAAAATGCTTGTACAACTGAACAAATACCTGCTGTCTCATTGAATACCTCCAAGATTTCTCCCTGTCCAGTCAGAAAATTGATGTTTTTGTAATTTACTAGATAAATGCTAACTTTTCTGGGATACAGTTTTTAATTCTATAAACTGGGGCTGATAATAGCTGCCTAACCTAGAAGTTTGTGTGTGTGTTTTTTTAAAGATTTCATAAATAATACAGGTGAAAGTAATTTGCAAAACTGTTAGATAAGGTGCAATGTAGCTTTGACTTTACAATACAATTATTATTAATATATTGGCCAATTAGTGAAGTTAACAAATCACTTTCATGGAGAGCATCTGATGATTTCAGCCTTACTAAATCCAAAAAGAGCCACACAGGTGTGCACTCCTGCCTTTGCTGTCTCATAGAATTCATTGGGAGGGTTTCACTTGAAAATACATCGTGTAAAACACAATGCATAATTTGCATTGACCTGCTTCATCATAAGTTTTATGAACTGTTTCTTTGAAACTTCCAAGAAGATTCTTCACATCGTTTTGTTTTGACTAAGTCAGTCTGTTCTTTTACTCTTCTGAGGACAGTGATCTCTAATGTAAACCTGCATCAACCTGTTTTTTCTCCCTTGTTCCTACACCATGTACCAACTGTAGAGGAGCTTATACACCATCCTTTAATAATACAGACAATGTTATTGACTAGTCCGTTTCTTGTGAAGAGGTGGATTTCATAGGTAACTTATCGTTTGGTTTAAAGCAAGCAATTTTTTCCTGAAATCAAAACTCACAAGAATAAGAATTACTGAGAAAGAGAAAGAACATGAGATAATTCATTGTGGTTTTTAAAAAAATCTTGTGTCTTTCACAAGAATACATGATTTTTGTGCTTTAAAAATTTATATAAATGGTATTTTGCTACAGATACCATGGTTTTCACTCAGCGTAATGGTTCAAAGATCTACCCAAGTGGCTAGAGGACATCTATTTTATTGATTCTACTGCTGCAGAAAATTCCATAGTACATGTCCATATTTTGTTTATCTGCTTCCTAGATAATGAACATTTTGGTTTCCTCCAGATTCCAGTACCACAAACAACTCTGTGATGAATAACCTTATACATATCCTCCTATGGTTCTGCTTCTGAGTTTCTTTGAAGTAGTATTCCAGGAGTGGAAATTACCAGGTCATAAAGTATGTGTATACTTAGTGAAGTACTCCCAGACTGCTCTCCAAATTGCTGTACTTCCATGTACATATGGGTATATGGCACCCACCAATATCAGGTATTATCAGATTTTAAAATTTTGACAATAGTACAGAAGTGTTAGCTCATTTTCATTTGCTTTTCTTTAATTACTCGTATAATATATTTAGTTTTTCATTTCTGTTACTTCATTTTTTGTATTTTCCCTATTTTTGTATTAGTTTTTCTCATTTTGTTTTTACTGTTAACTTGAGGAGTATCTTGTGTAGTCTATATTTGAGTCCCTTATGAGAGTTTGGCATTGAAGATACTGTCTCCCAATCTGTCAATATATGATAACTTTGTGTATATATTTTGCTGAACAGAAATCCTTGTTTTTGAGACGTTTTTATCAAACAAGCGTATCACTTCAAACTATTCAAAACACACAAAAGAATTTGTTATGCTTAGTTAAATTATGAAACATGATGGTAAAACTAACACCCATTAATTCACTACCCAATCTCAGAATAAGAAATTACCAATAGTGTTTAAGGTATCTGTCTCCGATACAGTTCTACTCCATAGTAATGCCCTACCAGAGGCAACTGCTATTCGGAAAATTTTTTATTCCTTTGAATAGTTCAATACTAACAATGTTTTATATGAATCTGTAAGTAATATAGTGCTAATTTTCATTTTTTTAAGTTTTAAATCACGTGTTATCAATCTGTGTGTACTCTTTTTTTTGAGACGGAGTCTCGCTCTGTCGCCCAGGCTGGAGTGCAGTGGTGCGATCTCGGCTCACTGCAAGCTCCGCCTCCCGGGTTCACGCCATTCTCCTGCCTCAGCCTCCCGAGTAGCTGGGACTACAGGCGCCCACCACCACGCCCGGCTAATTTTTTGTATTTTTAGTAGAGACGGGGTTTCACCCTTTTAGCCGGGATGGTCTCGATCTCCTGACCTCGTGATCCGCCCGCCTCGGCCTCCCAAAATACTGGGATTACAGGCGTGAGCCACCGCGCCCGGCTGTGTGTACTCTTATAACATTGTTTTTTTATTCAACATCATTCATCCCTGTTGATGTGTGATCTGCAGTTCATTCATTTTCACTGTTCTATATTATTTCATTCTGAAAAGGTGCTGCTATTTGTTTATTCTGGCAGTGGATATTTGTGTAGTTTTTAATGTTTACTTTTTGTTATTGTCGTTGAAATAGGATATAATGTACAATGTTTTTATGAATACATATCTTATTTCATAGGTGTAACGCTTTCTGCACAATATATCTTATTAGTAGAATTACCAGATTGTTGAGTATGAGCCTATTTAATTTAAAAAATAAGACCAGGTTGCCTTTCAATGTGATTATAGAAATTTCTTCTTGCACCAGCAGCGTATGAGAAGTGATTACCAGTCTTCACCAGGACTCAGAACTGTCCGGCTTCTTAGCTTTTGTCAGTCCAGAGAATGTAAAATGGTGTCTTGCTATGGTTTTAGATTTGCATGTCCATAATTTCTAATTATGTTAAGCATAAATAGTTATCATATTTTCATTTATTTTCAACTGGGTTATGTTTTTAAATTAATTTTCAGGTTATTTAAATATATTATTGAAACTAACTGTTGATTTTGTGACAAATATATTACTTCAATTTGTGATTAGATTTTTTAATTTTCTCCTAGTTCTTTTTTGAGTCAATATCAATTCTCAATTTTATTGTAATTTAGCATAGTGAACTTTTCCTTTAAAAATACTGTTTCTTTTTATTGGTCTGGCTTTAGAACAATTTTTCTACCCAAGTTATAAAAAGAATTTTATATTTTATTCAATGATATTTAAAGTTTTGCATTTTGTACGTAGGTATTTCCTATATCTTAAGTGGATTTTTCTGTGTGGTTTGGAGCCATTTACATTTATTTCATATGGATAAACAGTTGTAGCAAAATTTATTATATTTAATTTTGGTTTTTCCCTAATGATCTTCAGTGTCACCTTTGTCATCTATCAAAATTTTATATATTTTGGAGTTTGTGTCTGGATTTTGTCATTTTTGTTTCACTTAATCTCTGCTCCAATATCGTCCAGTCACTCACTCACTCCTTCAACAAATACTCAGTAACCCCTATGTGCCAGACACTTTTTAGGTGATTGAATCCACCAATGAACAAAAGAGACAAAAATACCTGACCTTCTGTAGTTTATATTCTAGTGGGGAAAAGCATCAGTAAAGTTATACAGATACTCCTCAACTCACAGTGAGATGGCATCTTTACAAACTCACCATTAATTGAAAATATTGTAAGTGAACATGCATTTAATACACATAACATACAAAATGTATAGTTTAGCCTGGCCTGCCTTCATCCTGTTCAGAACCCTTACATTAGCCTATATACTTGGGCAAAATCATTCAACACACAGCCTATTTTGTAATAGAATGTTGAATATTTCATGTAATTTATTGAATACTGTACTAAAATTGAAAAGAAAGTGGTTGTATGGGTATGTGAAGTATAGTTCCTACTGAATTTGCTTGACAGTTTTGCACCATTGTAAAGACAAAAATCCTAAGTGAAACCATTGTAAGTCAGGGGGCATCTATAATTTAAATATGTAAAATATCAAATGGTGACAAGTGCTATGAAAAACATTAAGCAGAGAAGGAGGATAGGGAGTTCAAGGTTGATTCAGGGTTGCTATTTAAATAAGATTGAAAAGGAAATACTTATCTTAGTGTAGACCTGAAGGAGATTTGAGGGTGAGCCATACAGATTTCTGAAGAAACAACATTTCAGGCAGATGGAACAGTAAAGCAAGAAAGTTCATTAGGGATGACAACGCAAGGAGGCCAGAATAGGTGGGAGTGGAGTGAGCAAAGGGGAGAAAAAGTCAGAAAGGTTACAGTGGAGCAAGAACAATTATACCACACAGTTTTAATTACTAAGGCTTTATGAGAACTCTTGATATTTTGAATATTAGATCTACCCAGCTTTTTCTTCTAAGGGAGTATCTTGGCAACTCTACTATCTTTGGGTCAATGTGTCTCTATGTACTTTTTTTTATTTTTAATTTTTGTGGGTATCTAGTAGGTAGGTATATATATTAATGGAGTACATGAGACACCCTGATAGAGGCATGCAATGCATCATAATCACATCATATAAAATGGGGTATTCATTTCCTCAAGCATTTATCCTTTGTATTACAAACAATTCAATTATATTTTTAGTCAATGTAAAATATACAATTAAATTATTACTTACTATAGTCACACTGTTCTACTAGAAAACACTAGATCTTATTCATCCATTCTATTTTTATTTTATACCTATTAACAATTTCTGTTTTCACCCACATGCTCCCACTATGCTTCCCCCCTCTGGTAACCATCACTCTACTCTGTATGTCCATGGGTTTAACTGTTTTAATTTTTAGCTCCGACAAATAAGTGAAGACATGAGAAGATTGTCTTTCTGTGCCTGACTTATTTCACTTAACATAATGACCTCCAGTTCCATTCATGTTGTTGCAAATGACTGGATCTCATTCTTTTTTAAGGCTGCATAGTACTCCATTGTGTACCACATGTTCTTTATTCAAACATCTGTTGATGGACACAAGGTTGCTCCTGAATCTTGGCTATTGTGAGTAGTGCTACAACAGAGTGTCAACATCTCTTTGCTATACTGATTTCAGTTCTTGTGGGTATATACCCAGCAGTGGGATTTCTGGATTATATGTTAGCTCAATTTTTGTTTCCTTGAGGAACCACCAAACTGTTCCCCATAATGGTTGTACTAATTTCCATTTCCAACAATACGATGGTTCCCTTTTCTCCACATCATTGCCAACTTTTGTTATTGTCTGTGTTTTGGATAAAAGGCATTTTAACTGTGGTAAGATGATATTACATTGTAGTTTTTATTTACATTTATCTGATAATTAATGATGTCGAGCATCTTTTCACATCTGCCATTTGAATGTCTTCTTTTGAAAAATAAGTATTCAAATATTTTACCCATTTTTTGGAGTGGATTATGAGATTTTTTCCTATGAACATATTTGAGCTCTTTAAAAAATATTCTGGTCATTAATTTCTTGTCAGATAGGTAGTTTGCAAATATTTTCTTCCATTCTGTGTGTTGTCAATTTACTTTGTTGAGTGTTTCCTTTGCTGTTCAGAAGCTTTTTAACTTGATGTGATACGTTTTGTCCATTTGTGCTTTGGTTGCATGTGATCGTGTGTTATTTTTATTTTTTATTTTTATTTTTTCGAGACAAAGTTTTTGTTTTTGTCACCCAGGCTGGAGTGCAATGGCACAATCTCGGCTCACTGCAACCTCCACCTCCCAGGTTCAAGCGATTCTCCTGCCTCAGCCTCCCAGGTAGCTGGGATTACAGGCATGTGCCACCATGCCTGCCTAATTTTTGTGTTTTTAGTTGAGATGGGGTTTCACCATGTTGGTCAGGCTGGTGTCGAACACCTGACCTCCAGTGATCTGCCTGCCTCGGCCTGTGTGTTATTACTCAAGAAACTTTTGCCTAGACCAAAGTCCTGGAACATTTCCCCCAAGTTTTCTTGTAGTAGTTTCATAGTTTGAGGTCTTAAATTTAAGTATTCAATACGGTTTGAAAAAATTTTTGTACATGGTGATAGATATTTAGTTTCATTCTTCTGTATATGATTATACAGCCTTCTCAGCACCATTTTCTATGTAAAATTTCAATGGACTTATCAGGTTCTTATACATGCCTGTAGAAATTTTGGTTGGTATTGTATTTAATCTAAATATCAAGGTAGGGAAATATGTAATTGTTCTATCTTTCTCATGGTGAGTCTCCTTATATGGAGAACATGATGTCCCTTTCATTTACTTGCGTCTTCTTCTGTGTGTGTGTTTAAGAATGTCTTACCAGGAGGTGGAGCAAGATAGTCGAATAGAAAGCTCCACTGATTTTCCCACTCACAAGGATGCCATGTTAACAACTATCTACATAGAAAAAAAAAATGCTTTCCAATGAACCAAAATTCAATGAACACTTACAGTACCTGGGTTTAACTCCATATCACTGAAAGAGGCACTGAAGAATAGAAAAAACAGTCCTGAATCACCTATGCCAACTCTCCCCCATATGTGGCAGCAGCAGCATGTTGTGGAGACCATCTCTGAGTGCTGGGGGAGAAAGAACACAGCAATCATGATGCATTGAACTCAGTGCTGTCTTGTTAGAGTAGAAAGAAAAAACAGACAAAACTCAGCTGACACCTGCCCACAGGGGAAGTATATAAAACTGCATTAGCCAGAAGGGTGTCACTGATTATAGCAGTCCATACTGAGTACCTGCAAACCTCACCACTTAGAACCAAATTGCTCTTGGTGTCTAAGATAAATTGAAAGGCGGTCTAGGCCGTAAGGGCTGCAACAAGTTTGTTAGTCCCAGGGCTGAACCAGGCCCAGAGACAGTTGACTGGGGGGCTAGGCAACATGCTGAGACTCCAGCTGGGGAAGATAAGGGAGTACTGGCATAACCCATTTCCTAAACCCAGGTGACAGAGCTCATAGCTCCAAGAGACCCCTTTCCTTACACTTGAGAGGGCAGGGAAGAGTGGGGAGAACTTTGATTTGACTCTTGGGTACTAGCTCAGCCACAGCAGAATAGGGGACCAGTCAGAAAGAGAGGACTGGGTTCCAGGCACTAGCTCCCAGATGACATTTCTAGACACACCCCGGGCCGGAAGGAAATGGGCTGCCTTTTGTGTTGATCCTGGGTGTGTGTGTGAGGGTATTGCCAAAGGAGATTAACATTTGAGTCAGTGGGTGGAGAAAGGTAGACCCATCCTTAATCTGGGTGGGCAAAATCTAATCAGCTGCCAGTGTGGATAGAATATAAAGCAGGCAGAAAAACGTGAAAACACTAGACTGGCCTAGCCTCCCAGCTTACGTCTTTCTCTCGTGCTGGATGCTTCCTGCCCTGGAACATTGGACTCCAAGTTCTTCATTTTTGAGACTCGGACTAGCTCTCCTTGTTCCTCAGCTTGAAGATGGCCTATTGTGGGACCTTGTGATTGTGTGAGTTAATACTAAATAAACTCCCCTTTACATATATATATATCTATATCTATATCTATATCTATCTATATATATATATATATATATATATATATATATATCCTATTAGTTCTGTCCCTCTACAGAACCCTGACTAAAACAGGGGCATTCCTGATTCCAGGACTTGAATTTTAGATGGCATTTCTGGACCTTCCCCTGGGTCAGAGGAGAGCCTGTTGCCCTGAGGGGTGAGTTCCAGGCTAGGCAACATTTATCACAAGCTGACTTAAGAGACCTTGGACCTTAAGGGAACATTGATGGTAGTCTGGCAGTATTCCTCATATCCAGAGGTGGTTGTGGCTAAGGGGGTGAGGCTCCTCTGCCTTTGGAAAGGGCAGGGAATATGGGGAAGGAGTACATCATGTGATTTGAGTTCAGCTCAGCCACAATACAATAGAATAAAAGGTAGACTTCTAAGGTTTTTGACACTAATATCTGACTCTTTAATGTCACTTTTGGACCCCCCGCCGGGGCCTGGGAGACATCAGTACCCATAAGGAAGGACATAGGCCTGGCTGGCCTTTCCACCTGCTGATTGTAGAGCCCCAAGGCTTTGAGGAAACATAGGAAGTTTCCAGGGAGTGGTTACAGTTGGCCTTTGGTGAGACCCAGTGCTGTGCTGGCTAAAGGTCTGAGCCAGCACAATCATAGTGGTGGTAGCCATAGGGAAGCTTGGATTACTCCATCCCCACCTTTAGGGGCTCAGAACAGAGACAGAGACTGTATGTTCGACAGAAAGTAAAGGAATAGAACAAGAGTCTCTGTCTGGTAATCCAGAGAGTTCTCATGGATCTTGTCCAAGACCATCAAGGTGGTACCTCTGTGAGTCTGCGAGAACCACAGCATTACTGGGTTTGAGGTGCCCTTAGAGTAGAAACAGCTTAGATCACAACACCCAAGTCCTTTCAAGTAACTGGAAGAATGTCCCAAGAAGGATCAATACAAATAAGCCCAGACAGTGAAGAATGAAATAAATACCTAACTCTTCAATGCCCAGACACTGAAGAACTTCTAGTAGCATCAGTACAATCTAGGAAAACATAACCACACCAAACAAAGTAAATAACACACCAGGGACCAACCCTGAAAAAACAGAGATAGGTTAACTTTCAGACAAAGAAATTCAAATAGATGTATTGAATACATTTTTTAAAAATCAAGAAAATACAGAGAAAAGTTCAGAGTTCAAACAGATAAATCTAACACAGAGTTTGAAATAATTTAAAAAATTTACGCAGGAGGCCGGGCGCGGTGGCTCACGCCTGTAATCTCAGCACTTTGGGAGGCCGAGGCAGGTGGATCACGAGGTCTGGAGATCGAGACTATCCTGGCTAACACAGTGAAACCCCGTCTCTACTAAAAATACAAAAAATTAGCCAGGCGTGGTGGCGGGCGCCTGTAGTCCCAGCTACTGGGGAGGCTGAGGCAGGAGAATGGAGTGAACCCGGGAGGCAGAGCTTGCAGTGAGCCGAGATTGCGCCACTGCACTCCAGCCTGGGCCACAGAGCGAGACTCTGTCTAAAAGAAAATGGACATTTAGGCATGTTCTGGGTCTTAATATGCGTGAGGGGCCGTATCATTTTATTTATTTATTTATTTTATTATTTTTAATTATGCAACTGACATACTGAAGAATACATCAAAGTCCTTCAATAGCAGAATAAATCAAGCAGAAGAAAAGATTAGTTAGCTTGAAAACCAAGTGTTTGTAATTACAGAGTCACAGAGGAGACAACAAAAAATAATAAAAAAGCACGTCTACAGAATTTAGAACACAGCCTCAAAAGGGAAATATAAGAGTTATTGGCCTTTAAAAGGAGGCAGAGAAAAAGATAGGGGTAAAAGTTTATTCAAAGAGATAATAAAAGAGAACTCCCCAAACCAAGAGAAAGAGATCTATATTGAAGTACAAGAAGGTTACAGAACACCAAGCAGGTTTAACCCAAAGAAGAATACTTCAAGGAATTTAATAATCAAAATCATAAAGGTCACAAATAAAGAAAGGGTCTAAGAGCAGCAAGAGGAAAAAAAAATGGACCTTCAATACCTCTGGCAGTAGACTTTTCAGTGGAAACCTTCCAGATCACGAGAGACTGGCAAGACATATTAAATGTGCTTAAGAAAAAAAAATTTTACTCTAGAATAGTATATTCAGCTAAAATATCTTTCAAACCTGATAAAGAAATAAAGACTTCAAGACAAACAGAAGCTGAGAGTCTTAATCAATAGCAGATGCATCCTACAAGAAATGCTAAAGGGAGTATATCAACCAGAAAGAAAAGGACATTAATGACCAATAGATAATCAACCAAAGGTGATATAGACATACCCACGACTGGGTAATTTATAAAGAAAAAGAAGTTTAATGGAATTACAGTTCCACGTAACTGGGGAGGCCTCACTGTCAAGGTGGAAGGTGAATGGCACATCTTACGTGGTGCCAGACAAGAGAAAATGAGAATGAAGCCTAAAGTGTTTCCCTTATAAAATCATCAGATCTCGTGAGACTTATTCACTACCACGGGAACAGTATGGGGAAAACCACTGCCATGATTCAGTTATGTCTGGGTTTCTCCCAAAGCACATGGGAATTATGGGAGCTACAATTCAAGATGAACTTTGGGTGGAGACACAGCCAAACCATATCAGCATCAAGGACAAGAGAACCAACATATATAAAGAAAATGTTATTAGAGTTAAAGAGAGAGATAGGCCCCAATACAATAATATATGAAGACTTCAACAGCCAAGTTTGAACGTCAGACATATCTTCCAGACAAAAAAACAACAAAAATCAGACTTAATCTGCACTGTATATCAAATAGTTCTAATAGTTATTTAGAGAACATTTTATCTGAGAGCTACAGAATACACATTTATTTTCTTAGTCCATGGAGCATTTTCAAGAATAGACCAAATATATATATATATATATATATATATATATATATATATATATATATATACACACACACATCTATATGTAATATATATTTTTATCTATATAATATATTTAAATATATAAATATGAATAATATAAACATGTATTTATATTATATATTATACATTATACATAAAATATACAATATATAATATATAATATAAATATTATATAAAATATATTTATATATATAAATATCATATAAAATATATTTATATATATAAATATCATGCATATTTATCATGGATAGTGTTGCAATAAACAGGAGTGTGCAGCTAACTTTTAGAGATACTGATTTTTTTTTTAATATGCACCCGACAGTGGGATTGTTGGATCATGTAATAGTTCTATTTTTAGTTTTCTTGAATAATTGTATACTGTTTTACATAGTGACTGTACCAATTTTACATTCCCACCAGCAGTGTATAAACAGTCTCCTTTCTCCACGTCCTCACCAGCGTCTGTTATTTTTCGTGTTCTTGAAAATAGCCATTTTAACTAGGGTGAGATGATATCTCATTGTGGGTTTGGTTTGTATTTTTCTGATGATTAGTGATGTTGAGCATTGTTTTTATTATACTTGTTGGTCTTTTGTGTGTCTTCTTTTGAGATATGTTTATTCAGATCATTTGGACATTTTTTCAATGGGTTGTGTATTTTTTTTGTGGTTGAGTTGAGTGTCTTGTGTCTTCTGAATATTAGTCCCTTGTTAGATCTATAGTTTGCAAATGCTTTTTCTCATTCTGTAGGCTGTCTGTTCACTCTGTTGATAGTTTATTTTGCTGCACATAAGCATTTTATCTTGATATAAACCCATTTGTCTGTTTTCACTTTTGTTGCCTGTTCTTTTGAGGTTTTACCCAAAAACTCATTGCCCTGATCAATGTCCTGAAGCATTTCCCAAATGTTTTCTTCTGCTAGTTCCATAGTTTCAAGTCTTGTAGCTTGTAGTTCCAGTTTCAAGCCTTGTAGTTCCATAATTTCAAGTGTTTAATCCATTTTGAGCTGATTCTTGATAAGGTCAAAAAAAAAAAGGGTCTAATTTCATTCTTCTGCATATAGATATCCAGTTTCCTAGCACCATTTATTAAACTTTTTTTTTTCCCAAAGAATATTTTTGGTGCTTTTGTCAAAAATCAGTTGGCTGTAAAAACATGAATTTATTTCTGGGTTCTCCATTCTTTTCCATTAGTCTATGTATCTGTTTTTATGCCAGTACCATGCTGTTTGGTTACTGTAGCTTTTTGTTACATTTTAAAATCTGGTGGTATGATGCCTGCAGCTTTGATCTTTTTGGTCAAGACTACTTTGGCTATTTTGGATTTTTCGTGATTCCATACGCATTTTAGGAATGCTGTTTTGTATATCTTAGAAGAAAGATATTGGTATTTTGAGAGGGATTTCACTGAGTCTGCAGATCACTGTGCGTTCTGTGGACATTTTCACAATATTACTTCTTCAAATCTATGAGCATGAGATCTATTTTTTTGTGTGTGTCCTCTTCAATTATTTTCATCAGTGTTTTATAGTTCCCATTACAGATATATTTTACCTCTTTAATTTATTTTCTAAATATTTTTGTAGCGGGTTTAAATGAAATTGCATTCCTGATTTCTTTTTCAGATTGTTTGCTATTTATGGATTTTTTGTTTGTTGATTTTGTATTTTGCAACTGTACTGCCTTTGTTTATCAGTTCTACCAGGTTTTTTTGGTACAGTCTTCAGGTTTCTCTAAATATAATTTGACTTTTTCCTTTCCAATTTGGATACCCTTAATAAATCTTGAGTTTATCAAGCCTGTTTGCACTGAAGGTAAATGTTCTTCCTGGTGACAGGAGTCCCAGAGTGTCTAAAACAACCCTGTCTATGTTACAACAGTGCTTCTCACTTCATTATAGGAAGTGATGAGGCTAGATAGGGGATTACAAAGTAGAAAGCCTTTTTGCTGATCAATTAGCTAAAATATAGCAAACAATTCAACTGCATGGTAAAGGTAAAAAAATTATAATGGATCTCTACTGCTCAAATTGCCAGACTCTAGAGGTTAGCAGATTATAGCAAATGTAAACCTTACAGTCAAGAAAATAAGTAATTATACCACCTCATGTCCCCAACCCCCACCCTCACTCACCTTTGCTAAGCTAAAATTCCAGACTCCAGAGCAGTGGCAAATTTTTCTCTGCTCTGCCTCACTCTGCCCACTCTCTTCCCTCCTGGTACTCTGGAGCCTCTGTAGCACCCTGCCCAGATGCCTATTCTACCTGGTTCCAGGATGCCTGGGAACTGGCCCAGCAGCAGCTCAGCTCTTGACCCTCACCGCACCCTGTCCGGCCCTCTTTTGGTTGGTGCCCCTGAGTTCGTTTCCAGAGCCACCTGAATTAGCCTTCCCCTTCTCAGTTCAAATATGAAGAGAACTCAAGAAAGTGTTCTCATTTGTCTGTGTTCTCATTCTCTTCTTTAATCTCTCACTTCCTCATGTTTCTCATTCTTTTATTTTTGTCTCATTTCTCACCCACGCTATTTTCTCATCCTTGTCCCCATTCTGATATTATCTCACACTCTTATTTTCTTTTTACCATGGCCCCTTAGTTTATTTCATACTCTACTTATTTTCTTACTTTTTCTGCATAAATGTTCTCATACTTTGTTATTTGCATTTTTAATCTCACATTGTCAGCATATTCTCTACATTTCTCTTATTCTTTCATTGTTTTTCATTATCAAATTTCATTTTAGTGTCTCATCCCTTCCACATTAAACTTTATTTCATATTATTTTATTTTTACATATTAACTTTTTCTATTTCTCATATTTATATATTTATTTTCTCAGGCTCATTGCTTGTACTCATTTTTACTTTCTTACAGTATTGAAGATTATGCTTTATTCTTATTTTTTATTTTCTCACTCCTTGTGTTATGTTTCTTTATTAACTCACATTCTATCACTTTTCACTCACAATCCTTCTATATTTACTCACAGTCTCTCCTATATTATTTAATATTATATTTATTTTCTGTTATATTTCTCTAACACATGCTTTTATACTTTCTTTAAAATATTTCTTTCTTTTATTTAAAACATCATCATTAGGTTAAATAGAATTAAATTAGAAAAGGTTTACCTGGTGGCCACATACTTGATGGAGGAACACTCTGGTTAGTGACTGACAAGGTAAATTGTGACAGTAAGG
This sequence comes from Homo sapiens, assembly GCF_000001405.40. Taxonomy (NCBI): domain Eukaryota; kingdom Metazoa; phylum Chordata; class Mammalia; order Primates; family Hominidae; genus Homo; species Homo sapiens. The sequence goes on along the minus strand of NC_000023.11, from coordinate 144,641,666 downwards.
ATATGCAAGCTCAGATAAAATGAAAATGAAAATATGTAAACCAAATGATAATAACTATGTTTTATAATGGGGCTTGGGCTATGAAGAGCCTTCCTTTGTTGATTAGCCACCAACAATCACAGCACTCAGTTAAATACATTTCTTGGAACACTAAAGGGAGGGTGATTGTCAATTAGAGGTTCTCAACTAATCCCATTTTAGGCACATTGTTTTCTCACAGGATCAACTAATTCTTCTGAGGGTTTTCACTGTCCCATAGCCTGCAACTGGGCCACAAAGAGGCCCAACAACTTTCCAATATGTGTACATATAAAATCCTGACAGATGGGAAAATAGAAATAAATATATTGTTTTGGGATGTGAAATACATATTTACAAGTATCCTTAAGCCACAGAAGTGACTGGAGGAAAAAGTGGAATGGTTAAAAAAAGAAAAATTTAAAAGAAAGTCCTAGATACATATATTCAAATTACAGGAAGCAAATGAGAAAAGAATGAGCAAACAGGTTCTGAAAAAAAAAAAAAGTGAAAGGATCATGTGAGAAGAATGCTTCAGAAATGTTCACATTTTAGAGATACTGAAAAGACCATATGGTATAGACTCAGTTCATATATTTGTCCATGAGGAAGACAAAATATTCAAAACAGACTTTTAGTGAGGTCAAGATATATAAAGGCCACAATAAACACGTCTAAATTATCACAGAGGCAAGATGATACAGCTGTAAAGTTCGGCTTACGTGCCTAGTATCAAATCACATCAAAACTGGATGTAAATAGAGACTATATTATAAATGACTATTGCAATTGAGAGAAAACTCCAATGTCAGGATCTGCAAGTGTATCAAAATTAAACAGAGAAAGGCATTTCTTTTGTAGGGAGTGGTAATAGGGCTCATAAAAACTTTGTAGAGGGGAGCCAGTGCTGGGAGTGGGCAGTTTGGCAAAATCAGAGTGCTTCAACAAGAAATATCTCTGTCATAAGACATTATCCACCTTGGAGCTTGCTTACATGTGAGCTGGATTAAGGGGAGGAGACAGACCTAACTATGATCAGGTCAAGCCATGTCAGATGATAAGTAATGAGAAGTTGTGAGCACTTGGTAACCAGTAACTTGTGTAAACACTAATGTGTGTGCTGTACCCAGAAGCATCCAATGGTAAATCTATTCTGAGCAGGGTACTTGGGCTGACCACTCCACTTTCAACACAGATTGTTATTTCATTCAGCAAAATTTTTTTTTTTTTTTTTTGAGGCGGAGTCTTACTCTGTCGCCCAGGCTGGAGTGCAGTGGTGCGATCTGGGCTCACTGCAAGCTCCGCCTCCCGGGTTCACGCCATTCTCCTGCCTCAGCCTCCCGAGTAGGTGGCACTACAGGCGCCCGCCACCATGCTCGGCTAATTTTTTGTATTTTTAGTAGAGACGGGGTTTCACCGTCTTAGCCAGGATAGTCTCGATCTCCTGACCTCGTGATCCACCTGCCTCGGCCTCCCAAAGTGCTGGGATTACAGGTGTGAGCCACCACGCCCAGTCAACAAATATGTTTTTTGAACCTGTTCTACATGGAAAGCTGTGTCTTCTTTGTTTTTCTGTTCTAATCCACCTATAGAAATTGAGATTAAGTGACCAAATAAAATGCACAAATGGTAAGAGCATTAGTTTATATGAAGGCCAAATTCTTTATGTTTCAGATAACAAAAAGAGGTCTAGAAACAGTGAAGTGACTCACCCACAGTCACCCAACTAACTAAAAGCAGAACCAGGATATACATTTGATTATACTTCTATAAAACTATCAGGATCATTGAGAATGAATACCCTTTTCCTTAAATACTGTATTCGTGCATGATTCTATATTTAAATTTCATTTGTCATTGTTTATACATTTTATTTCAATATTGTTTGAAAATGCAAAGCCAATCTCTCACCTTGTAGCATATATACCCACTAGAAAAAAAAATGATGCTTTTTTTCAATACAGAAAATTTCACTAGAGAAAATAACCATAAATCCATGGAAATAGCAGGAGAACATTAAATTATCCTAAGATCAGAGTTATACTTTTGTTTTAAATTAGTCCTAATAGAACACAATCAGAAAATAGTTTGCTGTTAACTATCAATTTAACAAGATGGTTCCACATAATAAATACTACTCAGTATAACCTAAAGTGGTCCTGCTCAGAGGAATTTTTTTATATTAATATTTTTCAGAGGACACTGCAGAACTCACAGTTTCCACATCTGTAATCAAAAGTGAACAGAAAGTTGTAATGAGCAAGACAAAATGATAAATTAGGCAGAAAAATAATGAAACATAAAATGAGACATTGACTGTAATTAAACATATTGTTTCTTATGCCTACTGAAATGAAAAACAGAATTCAACAAATTATAACACATTTTTCTATAACATGAAATATAGGAAAATATAAATGTAGTATGTCACTGAAATCTGCCACTACTATGGTCTCTTGTTTATCTTTTTTTTAATTTTCATAACCTTAGCAACCATTTATTTATAGACCTTCTAAAGATATTACACTACATTATAGGTACTGTGATCTAGATGTCAAGATTGAGTGAATACAAGGTAGCTATTTCAAAGACATATGAATGTATCAAAAAGCAACCTCATCTTCTCTTCAAAGCAGGAACAATTGCCTAGAGATAACATAATGACATTTTGCTAACCACAGGCAAAAAATAATAAAATAGAAATCAAAATGGAATAATAAAATATGCCATTTTAATGATCAAACATGTATTATTCCTAATGCGTGCCACATATTGCAGATTTAAATTAATGCTTTTTATAACTGCATTTTAAAAATAAGGAGATGTGTTTCAAATTTGCAGAGTAGATTGTTACATTTTATTCTCATTTTATTGAATTCTCCTACTATCACTGCTAAAACTTAACAGGGTTAAAACAGAAAACTATAAACGTTCCCTTTGATTCAAGAATCTTTGGCAAGCACTAATATACATACATATATGTAAACATACATTTATATACATACATGGTTTTATTTGAAAGGAATAGAAATTAATTTTATGTACACAAAATAAGCATTTTAAATGATTTAACCATCTTAATAATTTAAAGGTTTAAAGTATATTTCTAAATAGATAGCATCTTATGTATTTTTGAGGGAGCTGAACAACTGAGCACCAGACAGTAAAAAAAAAAATAATAATTTTTATTATTTATTTATTATTTATTATTTTAGAAACATGGGGTTTGGGTTTGAGTTCTTGCTTCTAAATGGCTCCAGAAAAATACCTTAATCTCTCTGAACCTCACTTCACTTAATTGGAAAATGGAATTGACACCTGCCATTATAATAAGAATCCAACAAGCTAACGTGTTAAATAATGCTTTATAAACTCTAGGAATCTATACAAATAAAAAATTATTCCACTTTTCTAGCTACCTTCTCCACATTACCTCTCAATGGACTTATTAGATAGTAAGGCCTACAGGAAAGAATGTGGTCCTAGGTATGCAACTATGATGCTATCATTTTTATTTTATAGTTCCAAATGGTCTCAGTTTTCTGACCCCTTAATGTATCCTAGAAGATAATGTAGACTAAAGTGCTTAGTTTTTGAATCCAGACCTCTGGGTTGGAATCCCAGTGATATGGTTTGGCTGTGTTCCAACCCAAGTCTCATCTTGAATTGTAGTTCCATTAATCCCCACGTGTCATGGGAAGGACCTGGTAGGAGGTAAGTGAATCATGGCTGTGGTTACCCCATGCTGGCTCTTCTCATTATGGTGAGTGAGTTCTCATGAGATCTGATGGTTTTATAAGAGGCTTTTCCCTTTTTGCTTGGCACTTCTCCTTCCTGTCATCATGTGATGAAGGTTGTGTTTGCTTCCCCTTCCGCCATGATTTTAAGTTTCTTGAGGCCTCCCCAGCCATGCTGAACTGTGAGTCAATTAAACCTCTCTCCTTTATAAATTATCCAGTCTTGGGTATGTCTTTATTTGCAGTGTGAGGATGAACTAATACACCCAGCAACTCTTTTTACTGTCACATGACTGTGATTTTAGGTATGTCACTTCATATTTCTGAGTTTCAAGTTCCTTAATAATATGGTGAACACTTTTACACTGTTGGTGGGACTGTAAACTGGTTCAACCATTGTGGAAGTCAGTGTGGCGATTCCTCAGGGATCTAGACCTAGAAATACCATTTGACCCAGCCATCCCATTACTGGGTATATACCCAAAGGACTATAAATCATGCTGCTATAAAGACACATGCACACGTATGTTTATTGCGGCACTATTCACAATAGCAAAGACTTGGAACCAATCCAAATGTCCAACAATGATAGACTGGATTAAGAAAATGTGGCACATATACAGCATGGAATACTATGCAGCCATAAAAAATGATGAGTTCATGTCCTTTGTAGGGACATGGATGAAATTGGAAATCATCGGTCTCAGTAAACTATCACAAGGACAAAAAACCAAACACCGCATGTTCTCACTCATAGGTGGGAATGGAACAATGAGAACACATGGACACAGGAAGGGGAACATCACACTCTGGGGACTGTTGTGGGGTGGGGGGAGGGGAGAGGGATAGCATTAGGAGATATACCTAATACTAAATGACGAGTTAATGGGTGCAGCACACCAGCATGGCACATGTATACATATGTAACAAACCTGCACATTGTGCACATGTACCCTAAAACTCAAAGAATAATAATAAATAATAATAATAATAAAATAATAATATGGTGAAAAATGGTACCTACTTTCCAGAGTTGTTTGAAGATTGCATGAGAGATTGTTTCTTAGTTTCTAACACCATACCTGGCACATAGCAGGCATTCAGCAAGAGGTGTTCAGTCTTATCATTATTGTTTATTGTCCGCCATTGCAATTGTGCTTCCATCTTCATTTGGCAAGATTCAAGACCTGAGCATTTTTCCTGATCTATGTTTGTAATAAATATTGCTTAATATGAGCAAAGATGAATTTTCTCAGAAGAATCTGTTTTGACATTAATATTGATCAGAAGATACTGAAAGAATTCACACTTTCTAAATCTGGTAGAGCTTTTTCTGCATTAGATCTTTTTTTCTTGGGCTGCCAGTTATGATAAGGAAATTTTTTCACATCTCAGTGATTAATATTGCAAATAGATGTTACGCCAGTGAATACATAAATAAATGTATATATAAACATATTTATACATTTTATGTAAATGTATCTATAAATATAAAATGTATATACAAATAAATAAGCTTTACCTTGTTTAAAGGTAAAGTTTTCAAGCAACCACTAAATGAATATATATTTGTATAATAATGTAGTAACATCCTCAACTAATGTTAACCTATTCCTTACTAGCTGACTGAGTACTATAAGCTTAGTCGTGGGCATGTCTTGGGCAGACATTAATGATTGCTTATGCACTTGGTTCAGCCATAAAGCACAATCTAACTTACAATAGTAGAAATTTGCATTTTAGACTCTCTGTTCTCTAAGTATCTGCTAGTTTATCTAAATGAGAGTGAAAAAAATGTAGCATTCATTCTTTTGGGTAGCAGTGATTTGGAAGCCATTTGAAGTGTGGACTGTATTTATTTCATCCTCTGTCTCCACTTACTGTTAACAATGCTTTCATCCCCAAATCAATGCAGACCGCTCCTAGATATATTTATATCTATTACACAAACTTAAAAATTATGGGGCAAAACCTGTATTTTGAATAGATAATGGTGACTGATGAGAACCATAAAAATAAAATGAAAGAAAGGGAGATAGAAAATTCTGGAATAAAAATATTTTAAACTGGGTGGTCAGTGAAGGCCGCACTCATACAGTGACTTTTGAACACAAACCTGCAAGATGTACAAGCATGATCTATGCAGATGTCTGAAGCAAAGGGATTCCAGGAAGAGGAGATCACAATTACAAACATCCTGGGGTAGAAGTGTGCCTGTTGTGCTTAAGAGGAAGAAAGAACAATGAAAACAGTAGGGGATAGGAAAGTAAAAGAATGGCTCATAGGCCTTGCATACAGGTGATTATATCAACAAGGCATATATGAGATTTTCATGGGAAAAAAAACAGTAAACAATTCTTTATATTTTTTCTACTTTTTACTTTTTAAATATTTTTATTATCTTAAAATTTTTGTGGGTATGTAGCAGGTGCATACATTTATTTATGAATACATGAACACATCATAAAGAATGGGGTATCTACTCATCAACTCAAACATTTATTCTTTGAGTTACAAATAGTCCAATTACATTATTTAAGTTACTTTAAAATATATGATCAAGTTATTATTTACTATCGTCACCCTATTGTGCTATCAAATAGTAGGTCCTATTCATTTTTCTATGTTTTTATAACCAGTAACTATCCCCCCCTGCCCCACAAAACCCCACTAACAATAAAAGCTTCTGGTAACCATCCTTTTACTCTCTATTACGAGGAGTTCAATTGTTTTGATTTTTAAATCCCACAAATAAGTGAGAACATGTAATGCGTGTCTCTCTGTTCCTGGCTTACTTCACGTAACATAACAATCTCCACTTCCGTCCATGTTGTTGCAAATGACTGGATCTCATTCAATTTTATGGCTGAATAGAACATCATTGTGTATGTGTACCATATTTTCGTAATCCATTCACCTGTTAATGGACCCTTAGGTTGCTTCAAAATCTTAGCTATTGTAAACAGTGCTGCAATAAACATTGGAGTACAGATATCTCTTTGATATACGAGTTTCCTTTATTTTGGGTATATATCCATCAGTTGTAGCAGGATGAGCCGCAGACAAAACCTCTCAGACACCGAGTTGTAGAAGGAAGGGCTTTATTCAGCTGGGAGCATCAGCAAGCTACTGCCTTAAAATCCGAGCTCCCGGAACGAGCAGTTCCTGTCCCTTTTAAGGGCTCACAACTCTAAGCCCAACCTTTCACATGAAAGGGTCATGATTGATTTGAGCAAGCAAGGGGCATGTGACAGGGGCTGCATGCACTGGTGGTCAGAGAGAAACAGAACAGGGCAGGGAGTTTCACAATGTTCTTCTGTACAATGTCTGGAATCTATGAATAACATCGGTTTTTAAGTTATGAGTTGATTTTTAACTACTGGGTTTAGGCCAGGCAGGCCCAGGCTTGGTTTCGGGGCTGGCGCCGGGCTGCCTGTCTTTGGTTTTACTTCCTTGTTGTTTTTTTTAAAACAGGTACTGAGTATAAAACAATATAAAACAATATGAGAGGGTCTCTCTCTTCCCTCACAGTAAGACTGCTGGATCATATGGTAGCTCAATTTTTAGATTTTTGAGGAACCTCCAAACAGTTCTCCAAGTTAGGCTGAACTAACTTACATTCCCACCAACAGTGTACAAGTGTTGCCTCTTCTCTAAATCCTCACCAGTATTTTTTATTGCCTGTCTTTTGGATATAAGCCACCTTAATTAGGGTGAGATAATATCTCATTGTAGTTTTGATTTTCATTTCTCCAATGATTAGTGATGTTAAACATTTTTATATACCTGTTTTCCATTTGTATGTCTTGTTTTGAGAAAGGTCTATTCAAATATTTTATTCATTTTAGATCGAATTATTAGATTTATTTTCCTATAGCGTTGTTTGAGCTCATTATATATTCTGTGTATTAATTTCTTGTCAGAGGGGTAGCTTGCAAATGTTTTCTTCCATTTTGTGGGTTGTCTCTTCACTTTGTTGATTTCACCCTTAGCTGTGCAGAAGCTTTTTAACTTGATGAGATTACATTTGTCCATGTTTGCTTTGATTGCCTGTGCTAGTGGGGTGTTGCTCAAGACATGTTTACCCAGGCCAATATCCTGGTGATTTTCCCCAAAGTTTTCTTGTAGTAGTTTCATAGTATGTGCTATTAGGTTTAAGTATTTAGTCATTTTTTTTTTTTAATTTGAGACAGGATCTCATTCTGTTGCCCAGGCTGGGGTGCAGTGGGGTGATCTCAGCTCACTGCACCCTCCACCTCCCAGGTTCAAGTGATTCTCCCACCTCAGTCTTCTGAGCAGCTGAGACTACAGGCACGTACCACCAGGCCCAGCTACTTTTTAATCCATTTTGATTTAATTTTTGTACATGGTAAGAGATAGGGTTGGAGTTTCATTCTTTTGCATATAAATATTCAGTTCTCCCAGCCCCTCCATTTACTGAAGAGACTGTCTTTTTCCCAGTATATGTTCTTGGCATCTTTGTAATAAATGACTTCACTGTACATGTGTGAGTTTGTTTCTGAGTTCTCTATTCTGTACCATAGGTCTACGTGTCTATTTTTATGGCAGTACCAGGCTATTTTGGTTACTATGTCTCTGTAATATAATTTGAAGTCAGGTAATGCGATTCCTCCAGTTTTGTTCTTTTTGCCTTGGATAGCGTTGATTATTCTGGGTCTTCTATGAAGAAATGGTAATGGTATTTTGATGGCGATTTCATGCATTGAATGTGTAGATTCCTTTGGGTAGTATGGACATTTTTAACATTATTGATTCTTCCAATCCATTAGCATAGAATATTTTTCCATTTTTTTGTGTCCTCTTTAATTTTCTTTGTTTCCATCAGAGAGATATTTCACATCTTTGGTTAATTTCTAGGTATTTAATTTTCTGTATGGCTACTATAAATTGGATTACTCCTTTTATTTCTTCTTCACATTGTTCACTGTTGGCATATAGAAATGCTAGTGATTTATGTATGTTGAGTTAGTATCCCACAACTTAACTCAATTTGTTTATAAGTTTTAAGAGTTTTCTTGTGGAGTTTTAGGTTTTTCCGAATATAATATCATATCATCTGCAACGAGTTCTCATGAGATCTGGTTGTTTAAATGTGTGTAGCAACACCCCCTCACTCTGTTTTCCTTCTGCTCCAGCCATGTAGGATGTACCAGCTTTCCCTTCATCTTCAGCCATGATTGTAAGTTACCAGAGGCCTCCTCTGCCATGCTTCTTGTCCAGCCTATGGAACTGTGAGGCAATTAAACTGCTTTTCTTTATAAATTACCCAGTCTCAGGTAGCTCTTTATAGCAATGTGAAAACAGACCAATACACTTTTATATCATTCTTTTGTCTGAATGCTCTAGCTAGGACTTCCAGTACTCGGTTGAAAAACGGTGGTGACAATGGGCATTCTTGTCATCTTCCAGACCTTAGAGAAAGACTTGCAGTTTTTTATTCCAATCGCTATGATACTAGCTGTGAGTCTGTCATATATGGTTTTGATTATGTTGCATATGTTCCTTCTATACCTCGGTTTTTGAGCATTTATATCATAAATGGATGTTAAATTTAATCTGATACTCTTTCAGCATCAATTGATATGATATATTGCATTGATTTATTTGCATATATTAAACCGTCCTTGCATCTCAGGGATAAATTCCTCTTTGTCTTGATGAATAAAGTTACTAAAGTATTGTTGAATTTGGTTTGCTAGTATTTGGTTCAGGATTTTGGCATCAATATTCATCAGAGATTTTGGCCTGTAGGTTTCTATCTTTGATGTGTCTTTGTCTGGTTTTAGTGTCAGGATAATCCTGGCCTTGTAGAATTAGTTTTTTTTTTTTTTTTTTTTGAATTGTTTTTTGAATTGTTTCAGTAGGATTGGTATTAGTTCTTCTTTAAATGTTTGGTAAAATTCAGTAGTGAAGACATTAGGTCCCAGTTTTTCTTTACTGTAAGATGTTTACTTATGGCTTTGATCTTGTTACTTGTCATTGGTCTGTTCACGTTTTGCATTTCTTTCTGGTTCTATCATGGCAGGTTGTCTATACCTAGGAATTTGTCCATTTATTCTAGATTTTCCAACGTATTAACATATACTCAGAGTAGTCACTAATAATCCTTATAATTTCTGCTTATCAGCTGTATTGTCTCATTTTTCATTTCTGATTTTAGTTATTCAGATCTTCTCTTTTTTTCTTAGTCTGGTTAAAGGTATGTCAATTTTGTTTTTCTTGTCAAAAAGGTAACTTTTTGGTTTTTGTATCTTTCATGTTTTCTCGTTTCTGTTTTATTTATTTGTGCTCTGATATTTATATTTTTTGTCTACTAATATTGGCTTTGATTTGTTCTTGCTTTTCTATTTCTTTAAGGTACATTTTTAGATTGTTTATTTGAAGTTTTTGCCCCTTTTTTGATGTAGGAACTTATGGCTATAACCTTCTCTCTGAGTACTGTTTTTGCTGTATCCCATAGGTTATGATGTGTTGTGTTTTCATTATCTTTAGTTTCAAAAAATTTTTCAGTTTTCTTCTCAATTTCTTCATTTACCCACTAGTCATTCAGGAGCATATTGTTTAATTTTCATGTGTTTGTATAGTTTCTAAAATTCTTCCTGTTGTTAATTTCAAGTTTTATTCCACTGTGGTCAGAGAAGATACTTGATATTATTTTAACTTTTTTCTATGTTTTAAGACTTGTTTTGTGACCTAACTTATGGTCTATTCTTGAGAATGGTCTTTGGACTAAGAAAACGAATGTGTAGTCTGTAACTCTTGGATAAAATGTTCTCTAAATATCTACTAGATCCATTTGATATACAGTGCAGATTAAGACTGATTTTGTTGTTTTTCTGTCTGGAAATATGTCAGATGTTGAAACTTGGCTGTTGAAGTCTTCATATATTATTGTATTGGGGCCTATCTCCCTCTTTAGTTCTAATAATATTTCCTTTGTGTATCTGGATGCTCTGGTATTGAGTGCATATATAATTAAATTTTTTATTTCCTCTGCTGAATTGACACTTTTGTCATTATAGGGTGACCTTTGTCTCTTCAAATAGTTTTTTTTTCTTCAAATCTGTTATGTCTAATATAAGTATAACGACTCCTGCTCTTTTTTGTTTTCCATTGGCATGGAATATATTTTTCCACCCTGTTATTTTCAGTCTCATTCCTGTCTTCGTCCTGTGAAAATAATTTTATCTGGTAATGCGATTTAGTTTCTTTTTATTTATTGTGCATCCATTGTCTGTTTTTTGATTTGAAGTTCTCATGAGGCGTGCAAATATTAACTTATAACCCATTATTTTAACCTGATAACAACTTAATGCCTTTTGTGTAAACAAAAAGCAAGCAAGAGGAAAACTAATAAACCTCACGTTAACTTCATCCCCCTGCTGTTTTACCTTTTGTCATTACTATTTATAAGTAAATTTACTGACTGTGCTTTGAAATGTTTTTGTAGTTATTACATTCGATTAGTTCATCATTTAATCTTTGTATTTAGTGTAAGAGTAGTTTACACGTCACAGTTACAGTGATAAAATATTCTGTTTTTCTGTGTACTCACTATTACCATTAAGTTTTGTACCCTCAGGTGATTATTTATTGCTCATTAATGTCCTTTTCTTTCTGTTTGATGTACTGTCTTTAGCATTTCTTGTAGGATGGTTCTGGTATTAATGAAATCCCTCACCTTTTGTTTACCTGGGAATGTAGTTCTCCTTCATGTTTGAGGGATATTTTCAGCAGATATACTATTCCAAGGTAATCATTTTTTTTCTTCAGCACTTCAAATTTGATATGCCACTCTCTCTTAGCCTGTAAGGTTCCCACTTAAAATTCTTCTGCGAGACGTATTGGAGCTTAATTGTATGTTATTTGTTTCTTTTCTCTTGCTGATTTTAGGATCCTTACTTTGCCTTGACCTTTGAGTTTGATTATAAAATGCCTTGAGTTAGTCTTCTTTGGGTTAAATCTGCTTGGTGTTCTATAACTTTCTTCTTTGATATTGACATATTTCTCTAGGTTTGGAAAGTTCTTTGCTATTATTTATTTGAACAAACTTTCTACCTCTGTCTCTTTCTCTACCTCCTTTTTAAGGCCAATAACTGTTAGATTTGCCCTTTGAGGCTGTTTTCTAAATCCTGGACGCATGCTTCATTGTTTGTTATTGTTTTGTTTTCTTTTGTCTCCTCTGACTGTGTATTTTCAAATAGCCTGTCCTCAAGCTCACTGATTCTTTCTTTTGCTGGATTCACTCTGCTGTTAAAGAGCTCTGATACATTCTTCAGTATGCCAGTTGTTTTTTTGCAGAATTTATGCTTGAATCTTTTGCATTATTTTAATCTCTTTCATAAATTAATCTAATACAATCTTGAATTTCTTTTATGTGTTATCTCGAATATTGTTGAGTTTTCTCAGGACAGTTATTTTGAATTCTCTGTCTAAAAGGTCACATACCTCTATTTCTCCAGGATTGGTCCCTGGTGCCTTGTTAAGTTCATTTGTTAAGATTATGTTTTCCTGGATGGTGTAGATGCTATTAGATGTTGTTCACTGTCTGGGCATTGAAGAGTTAGGTCATTATTGTTGTCTTCACTGTCTGGCCTTTTCTGTAGCCATCCTTCTTTGGAAGGTTTCCAGATATTTGAAAGGACTTAAGTTTGTAATCTAAGCTGTTTCTGCTTTAAGGGACACCCAAAATCCTGCGGTTCTTGCAGACTCGTAAAGATACCACTTTGATGGTCTTCGACAAAATCTGGGAGAATTCTCTGGATTACCAGGCAGAATTTCTTATTCTCTTTTATTACTTTCTCACAAATATAGTCCTTTTTTCTGTTCTGAGCCACCTAAGGCTGAGGGTGGAGTAATCAAGTACCCCTGTTGCCAACGACCACTGCGACTGTGCTGGGCAAGATCTGAAACAAGCACAGCACTGAGTCTAACCCAAGTTGTGCTGTAACCACTCCCTCACTACTCCATATGTTTGCTCAAGGCCCTGGGGCTCTTCAGTCAGTGGGTAGCAAATCCAGCCAGACATGTGTTCCTCCCATCAGGGTGTGAGTTCTCCCAGGCCTTGGGTGGGTCCAGAAGTTACATCTGGGAGACAGAGAGTAGAGTCAAAAACCTTAGAAGTCTACCTGGTATTCTCTGGTATTGCAGCTGAACTGGCACTCATCACCGGATGCAGTTTTTCCCATTCATTCTCCCCCTTTTCAAAGGCACAGGAGTTTTACCCCATAGCCACTGCCACCTTTGACCATGAGGAGTACTACCAGACTACACCAATGTTCCTTTAAGGCCTAAAGTCTCTTAAGTCAGCTTGAGGTGAATGCTACTTGGCCTGGGACTCACCCTTTAGTACAGTGGGATCCTTTCTTGCCAAATGTAGGTCCAGAATACCATCCATAGTTAAGCCCTGGAATCGGGGACCCCAAGAGCCTGCTTAGTACTATAACCCCTCTGGCGGTGTTGGTACCTCAGGTGCAAGAAAAAGTCTTCTTTACTTTTCCTTCTTTGCTCAAGCACAAGTTTTGTCCCATAGACACCACAGCCGGTATTGTGCCGAGTCTCACCTGAAGCCAGCAAATCTCAGAAGCTCACCAAGGCCCTTGATATAGTACCTGGGTATCACTGACCATTATTCTGTACCACAAGGCTCTTCAGTTCGCAGGTGATGAATGCTTCCAGCACTACGTTCTTTTCTTCAAGGAAGTGAGTCTTTTCTTGGCCCAGGGTGTGTCTAGGAATGTTGTCTGGGAGCTAGGGCCTGGAACAGGGGCCTCTTTTATCTGACCAGTTCCCTATTCTGCTGTGGCTGGCTGTTGTCCAAAATGCAAAACAAAACAAAACAACCAAAACCAAAAAACAAAAGCCTTCCCACTCTTCCCTCTTTACTCCTCAGACAGATGACAGTGGTCTCTTTTGGAGCCATGAGCTGTGCAGTATGGGGTTGGGGGAGGAGTGATGCCAGCATTCTCTTGGCTGCCCCAGCTGGTTTGTCATTATGTAATTTGCTGCAACCTCTATCCCAGGCCACTGGGTCTAGTTCAGCCCTAGGACTCGCCTACTAGTTCCAGTCCTTATTGTCTAGGCTGCCTTTCGAGTTTACTTAGAGACCAAGAACAACTTGGGCCCTTCGTGGCGATGTGTGCTCTCACCCTAGTTGGGGCCCCGGGGATGGGTGAACTCCTCTGGCTGAAACCTCTTTAAATGCTCCATCTGTGGATGGGCCTCAGCTGTTTGTTCTGGTTTTCCTTTCTGCTCTAACAGGACAACACTGAGTTTGTAACCTCACAATTGCTGTGTTCTTTCTACCCCAGTGCCTAGAGATGCTCTCAGCACCATGCTGTGGCTGCTGGGTGTGGGGGAGGGGCAGTATTGGTGATTCAGGACTGTTTCTATCTATCTCTTCAGTGCCTCTTTTAGCCATATGCAGTTAAAACCAGGTACTGTGGGTGCTCACCTGATTTTTGGTTCTCATGGAAGTGTTTTTTCCTATGTAGATAGTTGTCAACTTGGTGATTTTTTTAGGGGGGGTGGGGTGATTGGTGGAGCTTTCCCTTCTGCCATTTTGCTCCACCTCCCTCCATGATAGCTTCTAAACCAGGAATTTACTGATGGAAGCATGCCTCACAATGATTCAGTAAAATCTTTTACCATGCTGATTTTTCTCCATGGAAGTTTTTCAGTTCCTCTAGAGGAATAAAATTTACTGTGAATAAGACCTAGTATTGCTGGCACAACGGGGTGACTATAGTCAAAAATAACTTGATAGTACAGTTTGAAATAACTAAAAGAGTAGAATTGGATTGTTAGTAATACATAGGATAAATGCAAGATACTTCATTTACCTTGATGTGATTATCACGTATTGCACATTGCACACCTGTATCAAAATATCTCATGTAACCTATAAATATGTACACTTACTATTTACTCATAAAAGCTAGAAATTAAAATTTAAGAACAAGTTATCATAATTGACAATATATGTTTTTTCCTTGCAAAGAATAGAAAATTTAATATGTGGTAATCAGATGTATTAGGAACTGCTATTTCTAACCAATGTACTAGTACGTGGGTTTTCTTAGAGACTTGCATCTGAGAGTTTATTGTGCAACTAAATTCACTTTTTTTTTCACTAGTTGCTGGCTTCTCTCATATAACTGATTCCTTTTATCCCACTAAACATTAAAAAATTTACATAGCACATGGTATGTTTTAAAAATAAGTCACTTGTCCTACACCTTTTCTTGATTTCTAAGGTCTACTCTTAGAAATGTTCTTTTAAAAGATTTAAGTATCTTTCACATGTTAAAATCTTTAAAATCTTTTTCACCTTTAAAATTGTTGACTACTGTAGGAAATACACATATGAAAATCAAAAAATTGGCTATCTTCTGAAATATTTTATGAGTAATTATTTTAATACATCTCCCTAATGAGTTATATTTCTAAATAGTTATATTTAATAAGCTGTTTTTATTACTCCATCCTACATCATTATAATTTAACTCCAAAATCTATATTTATTTGTCTGCTGTTTCCTGTTTGTTTCATTTTTATGCTTTAGACTTTTGGCTTATCAGAGACTATGTTTGCGTCAATATTTATGTAAACAGTAGGGGTTTTACAAGCTACAGGATGCAAAGAGAGGAAGTTACCCTCCAAATTGAACAATCCAAGAATTATTTAAAAGATGTTTCCCTTGTAAGTGTAGCAACATAATGTTACAATTAGAATTGAGCCACATCAAGGTGCATTCCAATTGTGAACCCAAAAAGGTGACAATGTAATGAGATTTGACAGCTTGTAGAAAGGTGAAAATTCATTAACAAGCCAGGTTCTGCTTTAAAAATTTGATTAGCATTTTTGTATTATGTAAGAACGTCGCTTTGCATTTCAAGAGGAGAGCAGCAGTTATGTGGCATTTAAATCTATTCGGAATTAAAAATGATCAGTTTTTAAAAATTAGAGAAAATTCTTATGCAAATGAAATGTAATCAAGCCATGCTTCAGACTCATTATGCATGATTGATATGCACTGTAATTTGCTTACTAATTCAAGGAGCAGAGGAATTCCAATTACCATATTGTTTATGCAGTGCTGTGACATGCTGGAAGTGATATTAAATTGATTAGGATAAATGGTAAAAACCAACGAGATATGTCCTTATCCAACTTGACATTTATTTTATATAAAATGGTGAGAATTTCTTACTATCCTGAAAACCTCAGGTTCTTCATAAAGGTTAAAATTTTTCTGAGGCTCTTAAAGATATTAAAATCAAAAAGATAAGAGATAACACTCTTTTAAAATGCCTTCAGCAGAAAACATTGCTTTTTGACCTAAAAGTTTGTTTATTTGTGACCTGTGATTAGATATATCCGTAATGTATTTCTTTAGTGAGTTCATGTCTAATCGTGAGAATACTTGATACTAAAATTGCAAATTGGGCTCAGCTTGAAAACTTTGAAGTCAATATGCTGAAATTTTTCACAGCATCTAGAGTTTTAACAATTCTTAAGTATATCATAACCTACAAAATCTACAAATTCAAGAATCAAAATTCTTGGTCTGACTTTAGGATTTTGACAATGCTGATTGGTTTGGGATAAAAATCAAATTGATATGTTAAAAGTATTTTTCTTATTTTTTTTTATATTCTAAGATGACAGGCTTTACGATGCTCATTTTCATACTGCTTGCAAATTGACCTGACTTTGAAATCTATAAGGGTTAATATGCTCAAACTTCTCACAACTTTCAGAGCTTAAAAATTAGCTTTTAGTGAATATATATGTGTGTATATATATATATATTCACTGTATATATATATATGTATATATAAATGTGTGGAGTCAGAAAAGTTTAGCGTGGTGTGGTAATCTGAAAATCAGGGTGTCTTAAATTCAGCACTCTTCACATTTTGCTCCAGATTTTTCTTTGCTGTGGGGGAGTGACTTAACACACATTGTACGATACAGAGCAGAATCTCTAGTTTTGATCCAATTGATATAAGTAACAGTACTCTTCCTAGTTGTGAAAATCAGAAATGTCTCCAGACAGGGGTGGGAGGCAGAAACACCGAGGCTGAGATCAACTACGATGGAGAGAGAATACTGGTGGGAGGGAGGGAGGAGGAAATTAAAAAATTCAGACAGAGCATGAAAGGAGGGAGATTGCAAGAATGAAAGAGAAGAGAGAGATTGCGTGGTAGATGGATAATACAAGAGGAGGGGAAAGAAGGAGAGAGCATGATAGAGAAAGGCTTGGAATTGAGGAAGAGTGCATACCAGAGGAAATAGAAGGGTAGGATATCTAAAGAAAGGAAGGAGAATGCAGGATGAAGGAAGAATACTGGATAGTGAGAGAGAACAAGAGGAAGGAGATTACAAGAAAGAAAGAAAAAGCAGCGAGAGAGCATGCAAGGAGCAGGAAACAGATGAAAGAGTAAAGTTTCAGGTTTTTTAATTACCTTCACAAATGTTTCTTAGTAGCCTGCTAGGCACTAAACACTGCCCTAGGCAATGTGGATAACAAACAGGACATATTTCTTCTGTCACAGAGCCTGAATTGAAGTGAGAGAAGACAAACAAGTATATGTCATGTTATGGTACTTTATATGAATACAAATAAAGACAGGGAAGGGGATTCTAGTCAATATTGGATGGTCAAGGAAGGCCTCTCTGAGATGAAGTGACCTTTGATCCAGGACCTGAAAAGAGCGAAGGGATGAGCTTCAGAACATAGAAGAAAAGCAACGTTCCCAACATAGCAGAAAGTAAGTGCAAAGGCACCATGGCAGGAGCAGTTTAAGAAGAGCAAAAAGGCCACAATGGTTGAGGCGGTAAGCAAGGTAGAGTGTTGTTTGGTAAAAGATGGAGTCAGATAAGTCAAGAAGAGCCTTGTAAATCATGATGTCTCTTTTGGCCTTTCAAGAGTGAGAGTGGAAGCCAGTTGGAAGGTTTTGAGCAGAGGAGTGGCATTGTGATACACCTCCTGCCTTAGTTGTTTTAAATGTCAGTGATATCGAAGTCACCTAGGGTATCACTAAAACACTTATTCTTAGATTCAACCTCAGACCTATGAAAACAGATGATCTGAGGTGGGGTTTGATAATCTGCACTATTTAATAAGGTATGTCAGGTGACTTTGACGTTGATGGGTGAGGAACATACTTTAAGAAACACTACGTTAGATAAATCTTTCTGGCCACTGTGTAGAAAATAGTAGGGAAAAGACAAAAGCAGGGAGAGGGGTTGGAAGGCTATTGCACTATGCTGTGTGAGAAGTGCTGGTGGCCTAAATTGGGGAGGTCGTAGCTGTTCCTCATCTTGGCATTATACTTGTTTTTTCCTGAACTCATCTCTGCATCTCTAAAATGCACAATATAAGACCCTTGCATACTTTAAAGATTAGAAATGTGCATAAAATATGAGAAAATATAAGTTGAGAATTTAATCAAATTTAGTAAAATATGTGATCTATAGATTGAGTCCTGCCTCCCTCCAGTCTGACTTTGGCATCTGATTTAGGTAGCATATACCCTCATACGCCATTCTTAAACACAGGTAATCACTGTTCTGTCCACTCTTCTACCCACACTCGTAGAAGGCATTATCTTGAAAGATAAAACCATTTCAAACAAGAAATATTTTTTTCCTTATGTGCGTATGTATGCAACTTCTAATTCGATTTCAGGCTACAAAGGTATTCAACATAGTGACTGAATAGGCAAGCAGGATTTTCATCCTCACCTCAACACATATTGCACTTACTACTAATTCATAACATTTGACTATGGTATAGTGGTTTTCAATCTATAAATTGCTTTTGCCTACATTATACTATACTCACAGTGGCTTCTCTAGGTATTAAAAAATCTCTCCTTCAGGCAAGTGAATGGACTTCAGTGAAGTGAGGTGATTTGTATAAGATCAAGTATCTCAGTTGTGGTAGAGCTATAAACAGAATTTCAAAGTTTCTAATCTCATTAGACCATGCTGCAGTATGTGTGTGTGTGTGTGTGTGTGTGCATGCATATGTAAAAGTATATGTGCATATTTTGTTCTGTAGTTGAGCAGCAGTTACATGTTTTCTTTTTTAGTTTTTTTCTCTCTCACAAATATCTACAAACATTTAAAATAGATTATTCTTTATCTTTAAAATAATTGTATCTATTTGTTTAAAAAAATGACAAACTTATCAAAGAAATAATACAGTAATTATCTGTGTACATTCCACCTAGCTGAAGAAATAAATATTACCATATAATTAAAGCCTTTTCTATGCTCTCCCCTATCCCATATTCTTCTCTGCCCTTACAGACTATGCTGCATTTTTAGGGCACACAGATTTTTTCATGAGCATTTTTCTCAAATATTAGCAGTTTATTTTGTATCTCAGAAAAAAATACATGTATTTATGTGTGTGTGTATGTGCATGTATACATACATATGAATATAAATGTATGCTTATTTGATGTTTCATAAATTGATTTACCACATGCTAAATACAAATCAATAGTAACAAATTGCATTTCTATAGCAATTTACATTTATAAAGTTCTTTGAAATATGTTGTCACATTTCACATTTATTAATTGACACTTATGCCTTTGTCCTCTGAACCTGCAAGTTTCTGAAAGTCGAATAGATATTCATGTGTGAGCCTAATTAGTGCAAGTTAACAACTTTATTTTTTATTATTTTTTTTTTCTTTTTTGAGACGGAGTTTCGCTCCTTTTTGAGACGGAGTTTCACTCTTGTTGCCCAGGCTGGAGTGCAATGGTGGGATCTCGGCTCACCGCAACCTCCGCCTCCCAGGATCAAGTGATTCTCCTGCCTCAGCCTCTCAAGTATCTGGGATTACAGGCATGCGCCACTACGCCCGGCTAATTTTTTTGTATTTTTAGTAGAGACGGGGTTTTTCCATGTTGGTCAGGCTGGTCTCAAACTCCTGACCTCAGGTGATCCACCCGCCTCGGCCTCCCAAAGTGTTGGGATTACAGAGGTGAGCCACCACGCCCGGCCGCAAGTTAACTACTTTATATATTCCCATATTCTAACCTCTGTACATCTACCAGCAAATAATGCTTCAGTATTTTTATTTCTATATAGGCATGATTATGAAGCAATAGGGTATTTTTTCTGTTTTGAGTTGTAATCAAATCAAAATCTATATGAATAAATACATTTTAGTTTACTATACATTATTACATACAAAAGTTGACATATATTTGACTAAGAGCAGCATCTCCAGTTTTGTGCAACCTTGAAATTCTTTATTGAGAGTTCTTATTAATCAGATTTTCTTCTATGGTTCTTTTCCTATTTCCGGTTACACAGAGCTGGATGAATTATTTCCCTCTCTTTTATTCCTTTAGTTTTTCAGGGCCACATTTTGCTCTGGAAAGGGAAAGAAAGTCCAGTGATTTTCTTCGTCAGACTTAGAATGAGTACAAGACTTTTCTATGCTATATTTCAGGCCATTATTCGCATCTTCCAAAGTAATGTTTCATCTTTAACATGTTTTTACCCCTTAGGAATAACACAGCTGCTCGCACAATTTAGAAGAAACTGAGGAATAGCTGAATTAGAGGACAACGAAAGTTTACCCTTGACTGGTTGATATATGTTAAGCAGTGTAAGAAAATGAGTGGAATATAGTTGTAGCCTCAGGCTAGTACAGGAAGGAAAGTGAGCTAACCTTGTTTAATAAGCAAAATTCTGTGGACCTAAATAAATACTTCACTCTTTGAGAATGTTGGGGATAATGACAAATCCTGGATGAAAGCATGTGGATAGTATGTTTTCGTTGCCTGGATTTGTTATGTTACTGAATTCAACTTATTATTTTTACAAGAAATTACTATATTCATTAATCTCAAGGAGATGGATTTGTTAGTTAAGGAATACAAAACTGATGAAAAGAATAATTCAGTAATGACTTGTATACACATCACCACCTAGCTGAATAAATAAAAAATATTCCTATACAGCTAAACCCTTCATTTCTGCCTTTGGAAATATGAAGCTCTTTCATTTGAACTAAATTAACTCTCTCAAGCACTTGGGGCTATTTAATTGTTTGTGCCACAGTTTGCATGCTACTTGGAAAGATGGTGTTTGATGTTCTATGGTTACCAAAATTACAAATTAACTAGAGGCTCTTTAAGTGGAGGGTAAGGAGCTGTATTTCAAATCCAGGCTGCTATAGATGATGTACTTCCAAACTTGTGCTTCATGAACTTGTACAGCAAATTACCTGTCAAATTTCAAATTGACTTTTCTACTTCACGTTAAATATCGAACTGAAAGCTAGCTGACATATCAACTTGGGGATCTCATTATTAGATCCCCAAAAGGGGCAAAAGGTAAGTTTACCACACAATATCAAAAAGAATATTAAGAGAAATTACAAATGAAACCAGGTGTCACGTCCTGATAACAAAGATGCAGTTTTTTTCTCATGATAGCATCTTCTAACCTAGAGGAATTTTGGCATCGTAACACAACAGAGTAATTGACAATATAGATGTATAATCATTCTGCATGAAATTGGGCTTGCTTAGACTGACAAAAAGGAGACTGGTGTAAATTGTAATTTAGCTGAGTACTTACAACCAAAAGCAAAAATAAACATGTAATTCCTGAAAACGAGGGATGGTTTATGAAAGAACATTTTCTGGTTTAGAAAAAAGGCTTCATAAAATTTGAGAGGGTTTTGTTTTTAAAACATTACTTACTAATTACATTTAAACATAAAAATAACTCTCTTAAAGTTTTCTCTCAATCTTCTCCATGCTCTTCCATATACAATATTTAATTAGATGATTCATTAAATTTATGAATGTTTTCAACTAATGTTGAATATAACTTATTAAATTTTAATTTTAAATGACGGTGTAATAACCTCTTTTGGAGTCAGCCTGTTTAGGCTGGCTGTGACTACAGACATTTATATATTTTGCCTATGCAAGCAGAAGTGCACTCACACATTGAACAACTGAACAGCTTTTCTCCTCTGTATTCTCTACCTGCCATCAACCCAGGTGTAACTTATCGACTTATCTTTCGTTTGGCATGTTGCCCGGTAATTCACACATAGGAAGATATTCAACAAATGCTAAGTGATAAAAATATTCCTGTCTGAGCAGCCAGTGTAGTAAAATGGAATAATTGTAGAATTTTTAAAAAGTCAAGTGTCCCATTTAAGGTTAATATTATTATGTGCGTATATGATCCCGTCATTATGACGCTAGCTGGTGATTTTGCCCGTTAGTTGATGCAGTTTCTTCATAGTGTCGATGGTCTTTACAATTTGGTACGTTTTTGCAGTGGCTGGTACCAGTTTTTCCTTTCCATGTTTAGTGCTTCCTTCAGGAGCTCCTGTAAGGCAGGCCTAGTGGTGAAAAAATATCTCAGCATTTGCTTGTCTGTAAAGGATATTATTTCTCCTTCGCTTATGAAGCTTAGCTTGGCTGGATATGAAATTCTGGGTTGAAAATTTTGTAAGAATGTTGAATATTGGCCCCCACTCTCTTCTGGCTTGTAGGGTTTCTGCAGAGAGATCCACTGTTAGTCTGATGGGCTTCCATTTGTGGGTAACCTGACCTTTGTCTCTGGCTACGCTTAATATTTTTTCCTTCATTTCAACCTTGGTGAATTTGACAATTACGTGTCTTGGGGTTGCTCTTCTCGAGGCCTATCTTTGTGGTCTTCTCTGTATTTCCTGAATTTGAATGTTGGCCTGTCTTGCTAGGTTGGGGAAGTTCTCCTGTTAAAAGTGTTTTCCAACTTGGTTCCATTATCCCTGTCACTTTCAGGTACACCAAAATGGCCCAATTAACAGACAGAGACAGGCAAATTGAATACAGAGTCAAGACCCATCTGTATGCTGTATTCAGGAGACCAGTCTCACGTGCAAAGGCACACATAGGCTCAAAACAAAGGGATGGAGGAATATTTACCAAGCAAATAAAAAGGAAAAAAAAACAGGGATTGCAATCCTAGTCTCTGATAAAACAGACTTTAAACCAACAAAGATCAAAAAAGACAAAGAAAGGCATTAAAAAATGGTAAAGGGATCAATTCAACAAGAAGAGCTAAATACCCTAAATATATATGCACCCCAAACAGGAGCACCCAGATTCATAAATCGAGTTCTTAGGGACCTACAAAGAGACTTAGATTCCCACACAATAATAACGGGAGACTTTAACACCCCACTTTCCATATTAGACAAATCAACAAGACAGAAAATTAACAAGGATATTCAGGACTTGAACTCAGCTCTGGACCAAGTGGACCTAATAGACATCTACAGAACTCTCCACCCCAAATCAACCGAATATACATTTTCTCAGCACCACATTGCACTTAAAACTGACCACATAATTGGAAGTAAAACACTCCTCAGCAAATGCAAAAGAACAGAAATCATAACAGTTTCTCAGACCACAGTGCAATCAAATTAGAACTCAGGATTAAGAAACTCACTCAATCATAAGTGAACTCCCATTTGCAATTGCTACAAAGAGAATAAAATGCCTAGGAATACAACGTACAAGGGATGTGAAGGATCTCTTCACGGAGAACTACAAACCACTGCTCAAGGAAATAAGAGAGGACAGAAACAAATGGAAAAACATTCCATGCTCATGGATAGGAAGGATCAATATGCAAATGGCCATACTGCCCAAAATAATTTATAGATTCAATGCTATCCCCATCAAGCTACCAGTGACTTTCTTCACAGAATTAGAAAAAACTACTTTAAATTTCATATGGAACCAAAAAAGAGCCCATATAGCCAAGACAACCCTGAGCAAAAAGAACAAAGCTGGAGGCAACATGCTACCTGACTTCAAACTATACTACAAGGATAGAGTAACCAAAACAGCTGCTACTGGTACCAAAACAGATATATAGACCAATGGAACAGAACAGAGGCCTCAGAAATAAAGCCACACATCTACAACCATCTGATCTTTGACAAACCTGTCAAAAACAAGCAACAGGGAAAGGATTCCCAATGTAATAAGCGGTGTTGGGAAAACTGGCTAGCCATATGCAGAAAAACGAAACCGGACCCCTTCCTTATACCTTATAGAAAAAATTAACTCAAGATAGATTAAAGACTTAAATGTGAGACCTAAAACCATAAAAACCCTAGAAGAAAACCTAGGCAATACCATTCAGGACCGTTTTACAATATCTTAATTGTGCATACTTACTTAGAAGATTGAATTAACCAAATCAATTTCTGAATAGTATCGAGTCCCTTCAGCTCAATTATTATAGGTTTATTTAACATTTTATATCTAAAAACCTGAGTAAAAAGCACTGTGTTGACCCCTAGGATCCCTCTTTCCAGCAAAGCACTAATGTCAAGAGCAGAGAGCTGAACATGAGAAGATTACAAGAAAACCCAGAATGGCTGAGGGTATCACACTGGCTTTAGAGGAGTAGGAGGTGAGAGGAGTATGGGAGACCTAGCAGAATGCTTTGCTATAGGAAGCATGCTCCACAAATACCAGTTACCTTTCTCCTTCCAAAGGATGGGAATAAGCCAGAAGGCTTAGGGCTTTCAAGCTAGGCATTTTAAGAACAGGAAGTTTTGGAAAATGGTAGATCAACAGCCAAATAAAGAATTTTATTGGAAGTGGGACAAGAGTGTGGATGAATACCACAGGGAAAAATTAAGGTGCGATTTCCTAAGTTAATGCAAACAGCAACTAGTGAGTTTCCATGAGAGAAAAGTCAAGGCAATGCCTATATTCGATGAAAAAAAAAGTTTAGAGAAAGCCCACCGAAACTGAGGAAATGGAAAACACCACCAGCCACGGGAAGTGCTGTATTAGTTTGCTAAGGCTGCTATAATAAAGTACCACAGACTAGGTGACTTAAATAACAGAAATTCTTTTCCTCTCATTTCTGGAGGCTAGAAGTCTGAAATCAAGGTGTCAGTGGGGTTGGTTCCTTTTGGGGACCTCTCTTTGGCCAGTAGATGGTCATCTTCTCCATGTGTCTTCACATGATATTCCCTCTTTGCGTGTCTATGTCCTAATCTATTCTTATAAGGACATCAGTCTTATTGTATTAGGGTCCACACTAATGACCTAATTTTAACTTAATTGTATCTGTAAAGATTCTGTCTCCATATATGGTCACATTCTGAAATACTGGGGGTTAGGACTTCAACATAAGTAATAAACTTCGGGTTGAGGGGCCACAATTCAGCCATAACAAGTGCCTTGGTCTTAATATACATTCACTATCTCTCACTCTAAGTAACTGCTAGACTCTAAGCCAGTCAAAACAGATAAACAAGACACGGCTCTTACTCTTAGATTGCTCGCTACCTATTGGGATAGGTATTTCATTACTCATTCTGCTTTGGCACTGAGTACAAATCCACAGGAATTGGCCATAAGAATGCACCTACAACAATAAATAAGTCTCTCTTCAACTGTGGTTATTTCAAAACACATGAACATGGCCTCGATGACAGCTTCTTGAGGATGAAGAAAATAAGTACAACTGACAAGATAGTAGTGTTTATCTATCTTGATGTGAATTTAGTGGTATTTAGAGCTCATTGATAATTCAGTGTCTTGCAGTATGAATGCAATTTTACTAAATTGTTGTTTGATAGGCAGAAATGGCTAACTTTTGTAGTGTCCCACAAGACAAGGCCTGCAATAATACTTCCAGGTTGCTGGCAGTTATTTCTGTATTGATAAAAAAGTATGCTGTCCTGAATATAATAACTGCTCAATAAAATAGCTCATTGAGTAATACATTCTGGTATTCATAAAATTTTATAAAGGACATAGCCTTATAAACAAAATTATTACTGGTAAGTTTACAAATAAAGTATAGTACTGATCATTAGATTTATTTAATCAAACACAGGTTATTTTTCTAATATAAATTGCATTTGCCTACTTAGTATCTACTCTCTTTCATCTGGAAACAAAATGGTGATATATCACACACATATATAAAATTGATGTGACAAGGGGCCACGTATTTTTTTTAATGTTTTACCTCTCTATTAACATCTGGTAACAAAAGATTCAACAAACACAACCGACCCTGAAATGTCTACGTCTGGCTTGCTGATGCTGTCAGAGCCCTCCAGTATTCATTCCTGAGCTCCGTGTTTGCATTTTGAGACTTGCTTCAAACAAGTCAGAAAAAGTTTGAAAAGACAGAGACTGTTCTCACCATTTAGGTAAATTCTTCAAAATTCCACTGGATTCAGTTTTGGTTGGATTATTTTCATTGTTAAGTCACCTGTGGCCTGTTTGTATTTGGGGGCTGCTTGACCTCACTGCTTGGTCTCTTCCTCATACATTCTAGGGGTTAATTTCCAAGACGTAAATTTACTCGACACTGGCTTTAGGGAAACCCAGAGAAGCAGGACAACTGTGTTAATGTCATTTTTGGACCATTATAAACATTCTGTTCACCAAGCTCCTGGTTAATAAAGAGCACCATGCACCTTCTAGTTCCTATAACTTGAGCACATGCCCCATCAGGAGGTACCAAAGAGGTCTACTCAATAATGCATTGTTTGAAAAAGGGCATACCATGATAGAAGACATAATGGAGTAACATGCAGACTTAATTAGTTTGCTTTGCATTGCTATAAGGAATACCTGACACTGAGTAATTTATTTAAAAAAAAAAAGGTTTATTTGGCTCATAGTTATGCAGACTGTACAAGAAACATGGCAACCACGTCTGCTTTTGGCGAGGCCTCAGGAAGCTTTTATTCGTGGCAGAAGGCAAGGGGAGCCTGCATGTCACTTGGCAAGAGAAGGAGCAAGAAAGAGGAGGGAGGTGCTAGGCTCTTTTTAACAACCAGGTCTCTTGTGAACACATTAATATAGGGAGGGGATCAAGCCATTCTTGAGGGATCCACCCCCATGACTCAAACACATCCCACTTGGCCCCATTTCCAACATTGGGGGTCACATTTCAACCTGAGATTTGGAAGGGACAAATAATCAAACTATATCACAGACAACTGACATTGATCAGGTAAAACTTGATCAGGAAACTGAAAGGCAGGAGACTGGTTTGGTGGAGGAAGGAACCCTGGATTCTTCTGACCCGTATTTGCAGATTCTGTCTTAGTCTGTCTTTGCTCAGATATTTTGGGAAGCTGCATATAATAATAAATCCACATAGAGCATATATGCCAGGAACTTTTACAAATTTATATAACATTTAAATATATATAAACTAATTTGATCCTCACTAAAGTTCTATGATATGAATACTTTTATTCTCCCTCTTACAGATGAGGAAACTGAGGCACTGAGAGCGTACATAACTTCCCTGAGATCATACAACTGGTAAGTGTTGGAGCTGGGATTTGAACTCAGGTAGTGTGGCTCTAGTACTTAGTGTCTCCACAATCAGGATGCCTTTTACCATTGATCTCTGCTCTTATGCTGACCATTTCCAGCCTTGGTGAGCTGGTTAATTCCTGTCACCTAGAAAAGATTTTGTTCACTCAATCTTTGCATGTTCCCACCACCCCATACACACACACACACACACACACACACACACACACACACACACACAGAAACACACATATAGGTCTGGAACCCTGTCCCTGAATCCCAACCTCAACCCTGAACTTCATGCCAAATTCCTGCAGCTAGATGGCTCTCTGGGCTCTCTTTTTGGTTGTACATTACCCATTGGTTTTTGTTTCTGTTTTTTGTTTTTAAATTGTGCTCCACCTATCCTCCAGAAAACTCTGCTTACCACTTCCTGGATTTCCCTGTGACCAAGTTCCTGTTGCCAATTCTTCCCTCTGAATGCTGTATTTTCAATGAGTGAAGGGCCTCCTTTCCCCCAGTATCTTCTGGATCAAATTAGTGGTACCCTTCCGACCCCCAAAAAAGTTCAACTATTTTCTCAACTCTCTGAGTTTGGCTCAAATGGAAGCAGTTATATCTACTGTTCTTTGACTTAATGATATATCAGTGGAATGTGGTGATTTTTTTTTTTTTTACAAGAGGCAATATGCAAGGTGGCAGGAAGGATGTAGAGGACCATATCCACTAAGGCTAACAGAAGTAAAGGCTGAATATCTTAAAAGTGACTCACTTGAGATATTATTCCCCTTATCAAAAGTTGACCTTTCTTTCTCATTTATCAGGTACTACTCATTTGCATCTATTGAGCTTAAATAAATAAAAATAATAAAAAGTAACATTTGTACTTCACTATCCTTAGCAATGGCTTTTACATCTCACAGTCAGTTTTACTTCAGTGACTTCCTTTAAATTCTGGAAATAAAGCTTATCATATCTTATCTTACACTGGTTGAGTCCTATTTTACCTCTGAACATTGGGTATAAAAGTGACCTTACTAAAATATTTGACAAATCCAAGTCCCCACCGCATTCTTATACATCTCAGGGTGTGTGGTATTCCTTCATGAGCCACAGCAAATCAGTATGAATAATATGACACAGTTTTAAGACAAAGAAGGAAAAATAATCCGCAATTTATTTTGCTAGTTTGTGGAGAGCAGTGGCTCTTATGATGAAGCATGCTGAAGTGGGGAATGGCGCTCAGAAAACCTAGTCCCACTCTTTGCCTTCCCCTTAACTATAAGTAACTGAGTATCCTGTCGCCATAGATAACTCACCTATAAGAGGTGGATTTTGGAGTCTTCTCAAATAATAATGTGCTTCCATTAAAGTAAAATCTGATGTTGACAAAACTGTGCAAAAACAGGTATATATTACTGATGGTGTGAAATTCAGTTCAATTAGAACAATTTGAAATAATATAAATTCTGCACCTTTTGTTCTAGTCATTGAATCTGTCAAATTTAAATTTGTGTTAAGAAAACTAGTACAAACTGAGAATAAACTATTTCTCATCAAAACATTTTTTATAATTCCCATTATTTATTTTAATATCCATACACAGAAAAAATAAACGAAATGCTCAGCAATAAAACAATGCTCAAAAAGTTAATTTCTCAAATATAATATTATGTGGCCATTAAAGATGGCGAATATGAGGACCATGTTACTACAGGGTCAACAAACTATGGCCAACGTGAGCCAAATCAATCCCATGACCGGTTTTTGTAAACATAATTTTATTGGAACACACAAATGCCATTCCTTTATGTATCTTGTATGGCTGCTTTTGTGTGACAAAAGGTAGAGGTGAGTAGTTATGACAGAGTACATAATTGTAAAGCATACAATATCTACTATATGGCCTTTTATAGAAAGAGTTTGCAGACCCTTCACTTAGAAAAAACTTATGAAGGGAAAGTAAAACTCAAAATTGCATATACAGTAATTATAACTGTAAAATTTATTTTGTGTGCACACTGAACATACATGTATAGATGGCATGTGGATAAATAGAAAAGCCATTCATATCGCTAGATTATAGAGGTGACATTAGGTATTTTATTTTTTCTAAATCCATTTGCAGTCCCTGTTTAAAATTAAGAAACCAACATTTTAAAATTTGTATGTGTTCTTCTAGGTCAAGGTGCTGCTGTGGCAAAAGAATGCCAATATTCTGGCCTGTGCTAAGTACACCAGGAAATGTCATCACTATTTGCACAGTGGTAGCGTCATACTTTTGGCCAGTGCCAATTAGACTAACGTTTAACATTATTCTGTGGGACACTTTATCCGCTTTCAATAGACAGTCTTTCCACTGCTTCATCCCTAGATTATAAGCAATTAAAAGGTTGAGTGGAGCACTGATGACAGGAAGAATATGCTCTGTTATTCCAGTATTCTGACAGCCCAGCTATACTGAAAGTAGCAAGATAATTTATTTGACCCTACACTCCACAGGTGCTTAAAGAAGCGGTAGAACTGCTCAAGGCGAGCCAGTCTATAAATTGAGCAAAGCAAACTCATAAGGAGGCATGCTAATTTTTAAAGTGGATGGGTCAACAGCAAGTCAACATAGTAGTTATCCCCATCAATGTAAACTAGGCTCTTCACTGTAGCCTCAGAAGAATGTTGTCCTCTGTTGCCAACAGGAGGATGCTAGAGTTGTAATGCTCCTAATAAGACATAACCTTCACTGAACCAATTAATTCCCAACCTCACTTTCCCCATATGCATCAAATGATTGCTTCTCAACATTGGCTGTACATTAGAAGCATGTGGGAGTCAGAATTGTAAGTGGGAGGAGGAGAGAGGGTGAGAGAAAGGAGAGCTGGGGCACCTTGTAATCATACATTATTTAAAATCCATTTCAATGATTCCGATGTCCAGCCAGGGTTTCAAATTATTGGGTTAAATGATGTCTATATTTCTTTTCTTTTTTTTTTTTTAAAAAAGCTTTTAGGTTCAGGGGTACATGTGCAGGTTTTTTTGCATAGGTAAATTCATGTATTAAATTGCATTTTAGAATATACGTACTTACGTATGTGTACACATATTCACATGTTGTGGAGTTATCTGTTTTATTTTAACATCATATGACAATTATAAGCTATAAACTCAAATTATTTTAGTTGTAGTTACCATTTATTGAACTCCTATATATGCCACATACTTGCTAAACCTATTTGGAGGTATAAATCGTTAAGTTAAACCTTCCTAACAAACCTCTGTGGTTGGCTTCATTTTATTATTCCAATTTAAATTGAAGAAAATAAGGTTTATCAGGGATTTAAGATCTTGCCTAAGGTCATTAAGCCAGTAAATGACAAGATTGGAATCTCTACTGAGTTTTGTTGAAGTCCACGGCCGGATACCCTCTCCTGTGTACTCAACTCTTTTCAAAAGTATTTTTTTTCAAGCTCCAAAATTACTTTGTCTATTCATTACTAGGGTATAATACCATCTATCAAACTTAAATATTCTTGAGTCAATGCATTAAGGAACTTGCCTAGTGGTTGTTTAGGTGAAATACTGGCACTATTTTGCTGTTAATTTATTTTTTCACTGAAGGCTTTCCAGACAGAAAGGATTATTGAAACACCCCCACCCCCACACACACACACACAGACACACACACACATTTCTTTCAAGACATGGGCTAATGCAATTGTTGGGGCTTGAAAATCTGAAGTCTGGGACTCTCAGACAGGAGTGAGGAAGTAGAATTTCCTTGTCAGGGAAACCTTAGTTTTGCTCTTAAGGTATTTCAACTGATTGGATGAGGCCTACCTATATTATCAAATATAATCTCTTTTATTTAATGTCTGCTGATTAGAGATGTTAATAATCATTATACCTCCACAGCAACACCTAGATTAGTGTTTGATTAAATACCTGTCACCCAGTCAGGTTGACATACAAAACTAACCATCAGAGTACTGTATGTAGGCTGACATGCACACTCAAGCTGGAAAACTCTAAGGCAATATTCCCCACTATAAACTCTCGCAGTATTTTGTTTTTACTTCTCTTACATAATTACACAGTTGATATATAGTGACTTGTCAGAATGAAGTACTAAGTACTCTGTTAGATGTTGAGGATTCAGAAAAGAATAACAACATTCCTTACTGTCAAAAAAAAAAAAAAGGCTACTTCACAGTTCTTAGCCTCACTTCTCGTATGTAACATATATTTAGTGTTTGAATAAACAGGGAACAGTTTGGTACTCGAGTCTAATATTTATGCCAAAATCATCAACATTTATATTATAATTCTCTTTTACTTTTTAGATGAATTTCATGATACGTATATCATGAATATTATCCTACAATCAGTGTAATACTTTTGTCCAAGTATTTGATGCTTGTGGAATCAACATGATTTCATAAAATCTATTTTCTTCAGCCAAAAAATAGTCAATTTGTGATGGTTTAATGAAAGATGGCCAAATATAGATATTTTTACATAATAAATATAAGTTGTTGCCACAATTTGCCAAAAAAACCCTTGATTGATTAAATGAATTCAATGGGAAGAGAAAGAGAAAGCATACCTAGGTCCTTAGCATCCTGAAGGTTAATATCCAGTTTTAATACATCTATTGTTTCAAGTAACTTTTTTTACTGGGTGTTTATGCTCTTGTGTAATGGAAGTAAAAATTATAATGAACTTGGAAGGAAAAAATATGATTCCTTCATCACTATGTCATTGAACACCTAGGTGGCTATTGAAGATACCATGAGTTACTATATTAAACTCAATTGATAAGAATTTTTAAACTGTGGTATAACTTTGTAGATGTATATCTGTAAGATATTTTAAAGTGTTTCTTAAAATATTAATAACTAGCTTCATTCTTTTTATGAGGAGATATACCTAATGTAAATAACGAGTTAATGGGTGCAGCACACCAACATGGCACATGTATACTTATGTAACAAACCTGCATGTTGTGCACATGTGCCCTAGAACTTAAAGTATGTTAACAAATAAATAAGTAAATAAAATATATTAATAACTATTCATTGCATACTTTCTGTATGCTAGACACTTCATAAATAAAATCTCATTTATTATTCTCAACAACTTATTTTGGTAGGTGCTATTTTCCCATATTATAGTTGAGGAAACTGAGGCTCAGAGACCACACTGCTATTAAGTGATTGAACTGAAATTTGAACCTAGATTTGTCTGACTTTAAGAGTTATGCTCTTTTCTTATGACACATTGTTCCTCAGTAATGTCATTCTTTATTCTGTTATCAAAACAATGGCCAAGCTAATACAAGTACCATTTAAAACTATGTAAGTGTAGATTATTTGAAAGTTGTCAAACACTGTCACTTGTCACTTATTTTGCTAATAGATTTTTCCATGGAGCTCTTTTTAGCTGATAAAAATAATAATTCTCATGTATGCTTTTTGAAATATTTATTTACTAAAAACAAATGGCCGCTTCAATCCTCTTCTAGATAGCAGGCGCCAGAATACTGGATTGGGGATGCTCCTGGTTCGTGACTAGCACACTTTTAATTTCTAATTTCTGCTACAGTTGTCCCAGGATGTGTGGCACATAGTTTCTTGATATTTTCCTGTGGAAATGATTTCTCCTATGTTCTGTCTTTTCAAATTAGGATTGAGTAATGGCTTTAAAAATATGAACATGGAGTTTGTAGTTTGCCCATTTGAATCAGATGTGCATAAAGTAATATTTGGTTGACTGTATGATGGAATCGGCAGGGTAAGATAAAATCCAGAGGCTGCATTTTGCCAGATTCTGTTGTAAATAAACTTAAAGGAGTATACTAGGGTTAATAACAATGTGACTGTATAATTTACCTACCTAAGTGGGATTTTACTGAGACTGAAAGCTGGTGCTCTTCAGGATTATGCTGGGATAGCAGGTATTAAACTGGATGTGGGGTCATCCTGGCCGATAGACCTCACAGTGAAACACTGTTTTCTGTATCAGAATTTTAATGCTAAATTAACATTGTGAAAGAAAAATAAATCTCCCTAAAATCACTAAGCCAAAGGGAAAAGTCAAGCTGGGAACTACGTCGGGCAAACCTGCCTCCCATTCTATTCCTAAATAAGATAGCTACAAAGATTTTTTTTTTTTAAGCTACATACCTCCCTCACAATTTGTCCACAAGGAAATTTCTTTTCTTATGGAAAAAGGACAGGTAGAACGCAAAGTCATCCCTATGATTACATGAGACAAATGCACACCTGATTGTTTCCTGTGCCAGACTAAGCCAGACTAAGGCATAAGTGACCTTTCCTGTAAATTGTGCTTCTCAAAATCTCAAAAGAATGCAATCATTTGTCTCTTATCTACCTGTGACCTGAAAGACCCCTCCCACTTCAAGTTGTTCTATCTTTCTGGATGGAACCAACGTACAGCTTACATATATTGATTCCTATCTCATGTCTCCCTAAAATGTATAAAACCAAACTATGTGCCGACCACCTTGTACACGTGTCGTCATGTCCTCCTGAGTCTTTGTCAAGGTCCTAAACCTTGGCAAAATAAACTTTCTAAATTAATTGAGACCTGTCTCATATGCCTTTTTGTTAAAGAATTCAGAACCAATAACTCACCCCTTTGGGGAATATTCTGTTTTCTTTGAGGAGTTTCAAGGATCACGAGCAGATTCTTCTTAGGTTCAAAGCTCTGCTTTCCTGGATTTGCATTACCTGACTTCTTTGGCTTTTGGGGGTACCAGAGATAACCTTGTACGGTGAGAGGATTTGACCTTGGTGTGTGTAGTGGCAAAGAAGAGCTACAAAGTTAAAGGTGGTTGAGGATAGTGTACAGGAAGTAGTCTTAGCTTTTTTTTTTTTTTTTTCTCCTAGGAAGCTGTTGCTTAGGATCCTAATTCGAATTTGGAGGTGCATTCTAAAGAGTCTTCTCCATTGCCTTTCCTGCCCAAATTAATCTTGACTGGCTTGTCTGCACATTTGCATGAGGAACTGAACTGTTTTTGTAGATAAATGCGAGGCTGAGTTTCTTCAGTTCCAAAGAGAAAGGGCATTTTGCTACTCCCAACTGAAAGGCACCCCTGGCTGACTGGGAACCAAGTGGGAGTGTTTGGGGTGTTGACAGTCTGCAACCTGCAGTGGCCCTACAGGGAACCCCAAAAACAATTAGTTTAAAAAGGCTCAATCAAGAAGTGCATATAAGAGTTGGTGCACTTTGAGCCCTCCTAGAGGTGCTAGACCTCTGGAAGAGAAAACGAGACATGTAAAAAGGCAAAAATGACTCAGTAGTGACACACTGTGGAGTCCCACCCGCAACCAGCACACGTCAATCCACCACACTAAACCTAGGCCACAGCTCAGATTCTCCTTTAAAAAAAAAATGCGGGAAACAAATCATCTATGAGTAAGGAAAGACAAGGAGAATGGCCCCTCTTGGGCACCTCGTTGGGTTTTATGGAGCCACTACTTGCAAGTGGTTCTGTCAGTGGAAGGGCATGCCACATTTTGTAATATTCCAGCTAGTTACACATTAGTTCTGCTTTTGTGCATATTTTAAACTGTTGGGCAAATTACATCAAGGAAAATCCAGAGCCCAAAGGTCAAGCGGCAACTATAAAGTTCCTACGTTCTCTATCTATCTGCTTTCTTTTCTGCCTGCTTTAAGTCTGTGGTTACTTTCCTACTGAGATAAAATCCAGTTTCATCCAACCATTTTTTTTTCTTATCCAACTGTTTTTTTGTTATTGTTTTTGCAAGCCAGTGAGTTTGTATTAATATCTCATGGATAGAGTTCTGAAAAATAAAAGCTATAGGATCTTTGTAGGAGTGTGTTTGTGTGTGTTTGTGTGTACATACACATATTTTATTAGGTGTTTTTGGTCACAAGGTAGCAAATTTGGCTTAAAGAGTACAAATTAAATAATAAGCCCAAATGCTTTTCAAGTTCATGGACTTAAGTAAAATCTTTGATAAGTCAGTGTTACAATTATTGGTTAAGTAATGTTAAAAATGTCTTCAGAATTGTCAGCATAAATTTTTGTTTGTATCTATTAAGTGATTTCATACTTATCCCTGCCAAATACTATAAGGTGTCAAAATTTGGCATAAATATTATTAAACTGTAAACCCAGCCAAAACAGAATAATCTTTGTTTGTAAAAATTTTTAAAAATAAGACATTAATATTGGTATAATGAAAACAGCTAAATCTTAAATTATTTGGTAAAATAACCATATATTTAATCTTAAGGTTCTTAGGTAAAAACCTCAAATTCCTAGGCTGTAAAATAGTTGACAAGAAAATAACTTTAGATAATGACTATCATATTTTTTTACCACGATTAAAGTAATTTTTTTCTCATTTCTTATTAAAGTAATCTCAGTTAAAAAACTCTAAGTCATTATCTAAAGTTATTAAAGTTATTTTTAACTTTAATAAAAAATAAGAATAAAAAATAAAATAATTAGGTAAATGTAATGGGATAAATACTTATAGAAAAACTTGTTATAATTTAGAATCTAAAGTTAAATAATAGATATTCCATTTAATGGGTATTTTCCAATTAAAAAATACATATTGTAGGAAAACATTCTAAAAATTAGTGTACTCATTAAAAAGTGAATTTTTTTGTCTAATTCAATGTATTTAAAGATTATGTATAAAACAAGGAAAAAGGAACTAGGAAATAAAAGAAATGTAAAGAATGTTATAGAAATTAAGAGGTATTTTTGGTAAGAAAGCTTAAAGAAAAATAATTTTACATGAGAAAGGATCTTGTATGGTACATTTTTGTCCTAGAATAAAATGACTGTTTAAGAAAGAGGAATGTTCAAGACAAACTGGAAAGTGCAAGCATGTCATGAATGGTCTGTGTAAGTTATAATAAGAAATTTTATGGAAAAAAGAACTTTTATATGATCAAGTTGTCTGTAAGTAAAGGGAAATTATTTATAATGATCTTTCTAGGGGTCAGGTTTTGATACTAAAAAAGGAATCACTTATACACTAAATAATTGGTTAGAAAAATAAAATTTTCCTAAGGTATTTGCTTTACTCTTAATAAAATTACAAGATGTTATATATTTTTTATCACACAAAGTTAAACTTACTGCATTTCACTGTTTTCTGTTATAGCTCCGCTTTTAAAGTGCCTGAAATAATAATTCTATCCTTCAACTCATTTTCAGATTCTGTAGTTATTTTTGTCATTGTTGTTCTACCTGTTGTGGCCTAATGCTAAAAACGTTTTATCTTAAAGGTCTAAAGGAGATGTTTATTTCTAACACAATATTCTATGCCCTTGGCTTTAAATTGTTCTATGAATCCAAAATTTTGCACTTATAACCCAGGAAACACTCTTTCTATGTCTAGCTAATTAAAATACTCTTTTCATTAGTTTTGACTTGTAGATTTTCTAAATGGAGTCCCCATAGGAAACAGGAGTCACACTGCAGAAGGTCTTTTCTTTTGCCTTTGGGCAACTGGCCTAATAAGCAGATTTTAAGCTTTATTGAAATAATTCATATGTTATTATTACTAAGTTTTATAGTTTGCTTAGAAAAAAACTAAGATTAAAAACTGTTTTCTTAATTAAGATTATTACATTCATGTAACTTTCTGTATGTGCTTTTAAAGGCCTTGTGCCATTAAGTTATGGGGCTTTGACTCCTGGATCTAAATCTTAAACATTGACAGCAGGTAAAACCTCAACCTCAGACCTGGTAGAAGGTGTCAATCAAAATAAACTACATTCATGAGACACAGGGCTAGAAATTAAAACTATTCAACTCAAGGCCCAGGGACTATCACAGAAGAGGTGGGCACGTGAGATTTTAGGGGCCAATTTTGAGTGATAAAATAAGTTCATTTTCTCTATAAATTAATCATTAATGTCAAAGGCACACTGATGCAAGGCCAGCATATGGGCCCCTGTGTCCGATTAATAAGATTTTCTTGGAGCATTAACAACTTCTTAATAAAAGGTTATAAAGGTTATAAAAAGGCTTATGGAAATTATGTATTATGGTCAAAATAATTAAAATTCTATAGATTATACAATTTTAAAAAGAAATTTAATTGTTCTCATGTTGTTTTTATTAGGGCTTATTGTTTGGGAAATTAAGTCTCCTCTCTCAAAGAATAAAGGTTTTTACCGTTTTTTTTTTTTTTGAAATCTTTGTTATCATTTTGGCTAAATGAATGACTTATTTTACAATGACCTCTGATCCTATTTTGTGATATCAAGTTTTTTAAACTTTTTATATTTAAGAAATTTTCCAAAATCAAATTCTTACTTGGTTCTCATAAATTTTTTGATATTAGTCACCTGAAGTTCAAAAAGAAACATATTTAGCTTATTTGATATCACAAAATCATACAGGAAATATTGCCAAATATGAAACAGTATTTAACCTTCTTTGGATTATATTTCTATAAATGTGTAATTAGTATGTGTTCCAGAATTCTATGACATTCCTGTGATTCTGTTATGTCTTAGCACATGTTATTAGTAGTAATTATGGTTATTATGTAAAACCATTGTATGCCACAGAAGTAACCAAATTTCCTTGTCAATTGTGCCTTTATAACTGTTTTAGGACTTTTGTCATCTACAGTTGTTTTACTGTTATCCTTTCCAAAAGGTGGTTTTGTAATCAGCATAGGACTCTGTATCCATCCATTTTCACACTACTATAACAAAATTTCCAAGACTGGGTAATTTATAAAGCAAAGAGGTTTAATTAACTCACAGTTTTGCATGGCTGGAGAGGCCTCAGGAAACTTACAATCATAGTGGAAAGGGAAGCAGGCACGTCTTACATGGCAGCAGGCAAGAGAGACAGTGTGTGTCAGCGCAAGAAAAACTACCATTTAAAAAACCATCATGATAGTTCGCTCCCTTTCATGAGAACAACGTGGGAAAAACCACCCCAATAATCCAGTCACTTCCCACCAGGTCTCTTCCTAAACACCCGGGGATTACAATTCAAGATGAGCTTTGGGTTGGGACACAAAGTCTAACCATATCAGACTCTGATGGGTGCTCTTGAATGGAGGTTTTTGGAAACTGTGACACTAGAATAGAAGAAAAACTTTTAGGACTCCCATGGAGAGCTGAAATGTTCATGAATATCAAGCAAAACAGGAGTTACTTGCACAGACTGAACTAATAGAAGACTGAGATAAATAATTTTATGATTTTTTGCTTAAAACGTTGTTGATCCTTTGTTTTTCAGAGCTAAAAAATCTTTTCTTTAGAGCTATTTGTAGCTTTTAATTGTTGAGTAATGTATGCTCTTATAAACAAAATTTGGTGCATATTTCTTTCCACCTGATTTATCAAAAATTTGGAAACCAGCTGTGAGTATTTTTAACTGATGGCAATATATTTGCATGAGTGCAATAGGAATCTATTTACTTTTGTAATAGGACACTTTTGGAGACACTGGTTATTTTAACAAAGTTTTGACTGAAATGATGTGCTTTCAGATCCTTTTAAGAAATCAAAGTTGACTTTTAGAGCCAATAAAAGCCCCTTGGGAAAGCTGGTCTCATACCTTGTCCACACAGTCTCCGTACAGGTTCCTGATCTGTGGTAAATTAAAAAAGTCACTTTCTTTTTTTTTTTTATTATCAAGGCTCAAATATACTGAAATGCTTATTTACAAGTCATGCAGATTTAAGGTATTATATTTTATATGAATGAAATATTTTAATGTGTATGAAATCATAGACAAAGAAAAATAGAACAGTGATCATATAAAAGGAATAATATTGAGAAATATTGAGGAATTCAAGGAATTATTGAGACCTAAACATTTTTCATAATTGATGAAAATTATGAACTAATGAATACAGGAGGTATCATTTATCCACAATAAAATATATAAAAGGAAAACCAAGTATTTTTGTGAAACTACAGAAAGTCAAAGACAAATAAAAGGATCTGAAAATAAACTATTCAAAAAATGTAAAAATAATTTTTATTTAAGATAAAATATTATAACCATCAACATAGAATTGTGTATACTCAGACAAACTATCTTATAAGAACGTGGGGGGAAATATAAATAAACAAAACTGAGAGAATATATTAACAAATAATTTTCATTGAAGAGTTTTCCAAAAAAATAATCCAGGCAGAAGAAAGATTTCAGAAGGAAAGTCTGAGATACAAGAAAGAATGGTAAAAACATAAATTGTTAGAGAAATAGATAAAACCAAATAAAAGGTGTCTATATAAAATACCATCAAATATTGTTATACAATGTTTGACATGTAGTAACTTTATTACCATTTAGTTACAAGTTGCATTGCGATTTTTCCACCCCAATTGGTATTTAGGAGTGTGTTTTTGCATTCCTATGCATATATATGCACATATGTATGTATGTCTACATTTTAACATTGCATTGTTGATTTCTAATCTAAATACCTGGTCAGATATTTTTCATCTGTGTCATACCAATTCTTTGAAACTTGTTAAAGCTTCCTTTATTTATTAGTTATGCTTCAAAAACGCTCATGACCTAGGTAACAGAAGACACATTCAACTGGGATTTTGATGAAGATATGTTTATCAGTATGTCAAGAAAGTCTGGGCACCTGGGGACTATCAACAATAAGACATTATTATTACCACCAAGTATTAAGAGATAAAGGGATGAAACAGTGTTACTGGAGCCCAGTAAGATGTAGTGTCACGGGAAGCAGATAGGTACTCTACACAAAACTGAAGTTGTAGAAGGGCACTGCCATAACCATGGCATAAAGGCAGAGAAGAAGTAAGGAAAATTTGCCCCCATCTATCCATTTTTATGCTCTTCAATCTCCTGCTAGTGCCTCCCATTAGCCATAATGATCTAGAAGCCAGAGTGCAAAGAATCCAGGTTATATAGTTTACAGTGGTTAAGCACTTAGGGTATAGAACAAGGAAGCAAGAAGAGCAGAGAATTAATGGTAAAAGGAAATAAATAGAAAATATCCAGCAAATTTTTTGAGATGTGACATGACATAATTTATATTTGTTCTATTTTTTGCTCAAACATAATGTTACATATGTTCTTATATTAGTTATTGTCCAACTAGAAATCACTGGGTATGTTTTACAGAGAGGAAACTTAATACTGATGATTGGTTAACAAATGATGTTAATGCAGCGAAACCAAACAGAAAGGTGAGACAATTGAGAGATTAGAAATAGCAGAAAGCTGCTATTGTCTCTAGGTCTGGAGAGATACAGAAAGTAGGTGGTGTTTATCAGAAACCAGAAACCAGAAACCAGAAACCAGGACTATCTTGAGGAAACTAAAATCAATGTGATGGCAGACTAGATGTAATGGGACCATAAAATGAGAAGATCTTCAGTAGAGAACTGAAACCACAAAGGAAAGGCAACTGCTGTTAGAAAATGTTGCCTGTGTTGGTTGGTATGCGAAGGCCAGGAAGACTATGGTTTCTCTTGCCTTTCCCTGGTGTTCATTGGCTAAATCAACTGGCAAGGATGTCTGGGAAGCATAGTTTTTCTGATATGAATAATAATTGGATCTGTGTATAAACAGGCAATGATCTGCCCGTTTCTCTATTTGATAGATACAGGATTGCACATATTTATCAGATAAAATTTGTTAGCCATGATGTTTGAATTTTCTTTGTTTTTTTGAGACAGAGTCTCGCTCTGTCGCCAGGCTGGAGTGCAGTTGTGTGATCTTGGCTCACTGTAACCTCTGCCTCCTGGGTTCAAGTGATTCTCCTGCCTCAGCCTCCCAAGTAGCTAGGACTACAGGCGTGTGCCACCACGCCCAGCTAATGTTTGTATTTTTAGTAGAGATGGGGTCTCGCCATGTTGGCCAGGATGGTCTCGATCTCTTGACCTCGTGATCCACCTGCCTTGGCCTCCCAAAATGCTGGGATTACAGGCATGAGCCACTGCACCCAGCCAAACAGTGGAATTTTCTATACTCATAAATTTTGTCTGTCATTTTGTTTCTATTAAATGTGTATTAAAATCAACCATATTAATTGTGACTTTGATAGTCCCTTATTGTTCTGTCACATTTTATTTTATATAATTTGAGACTATTCTGTTAGGGGTGTAAAAATTCAAGATTTTAACATTTCTTGGTGACTTTTTTTTATCATTATGCTGGGAGTCTGTTTCAATGAATATTCTTTACATAAATTATTTGTGTTATTTCTATTTTCACAGCTATGTTCATGGATATTTTATTTTCATGTTTTTGTTTTATCTTCAAATTGTGTGTTGTTTCATCTATAATTGGTCTCCTTAAGCAACTCTACACTGATGTGAAAGTATCTTTCAATAGGTAAGTCTAATTTAATTACTTTTATGTTGTTTGCTAATACTTTCAGCTTTTTTTCTTGTCACAAACTTTACTCGATCAAATGCAGTGGTCAAATGTTTTGCATTTTTATGTCTGTCTGAAGAGTGTTTAGCGATGACCACATCATGCACACAAGAAATTATAATTTACCTTTTGGTAGAACTGACACCAATTACATTAAAATAAAAGAGGACCTTTAGAAATTTCATCCTAATTCCTCTTTATGCTTTGATCTGATGGGTCAAATTTTTCTTGGTGAGTTTGAATTTTATTTTAAGTGTAGTGGGTATCCAGCTAGAAGTTTAAAAATGTGTAAATGATATAATCTCATTTAAGTGTTAGAAAGATCAATCTGGCTGAAGTATCAATAGCCTGTGGGGCTAGAGTAAAACAGGATCAGTCATCCAGGTAAGAGATGATGGCAGCTTCCTCTAGGATAAGAGTAGTGTAGGAAGTAAGAAGATAGAAATTGTGAATGTATTTTGAAAATAAAGACCATCTGTTTGTTAATAGAGAAAAATAGATGAATCAAAGTAAGTTCTTAGGTTTTAAGGTTGAGCAACTGAGTTAACAGTGGTGCCATTCATTGACACGTGGGTCTGGGGAAGAAGCAGGTTTGAGATAGGAAACAACAGGATCTCTAGATACGCTAATGCAGAAGTAACTGAATCCATAATCTAATTATAACATTAAGGTTTTCCCAAATACTTCATCCCATGGTCTGTTCTGAAATTCCGCATGCTTACAGTTGACGAAGGAGAGTCTAGATTTTAAAGAATGTAGCTGGAGGCTTAATGAGCTCCTAAGAACATACTGGATACATTGTGAGAAGATTGATGATTGAAGTGGGCTGGAGGGGAGAAGTAACCCCCGCACAACACTGCTTTTGGTTCTAGAATTTCAATTTCTCCTGATTATTCCTTCTACCCTAGGCAAGTGCAGTTATTTTACACCATAAATCACCTCGATTAAATGTATTTGATGCATTTGATTTAAGAAGATCCTCTTAAAAACTAGTGCTTGCATTTCCAAACTGAAGCCAGGAAAGTAAATTGTGACTTTTAGAG
The DNA here is from genome assembly GCF_000001405.40 of Homo sapiens. Classification (NCBI taxonomy): domain Eukaryota; kingdom Metazoa; phylum Chordata; class Mammalia; order Primates; family Hominidae; genus Homo; species Homo sapiens. The sequence continues at coordinate 144,599,095 of NC_000023.11, read as the reverse complement.
CAAAACTGTATGCCTTATTCCTAGTGAATGAATAAAATTGCAGTTACACATTATAGTCATCTGTTTTTATATTTTCTGTCATGGCACTAGCTCATTTAATATTCACAAATATAGCAATACAGCTATTTTAAACCTTGAAAATTAAATATATAAATTGCTTAAGAGTTACAATCTGACACAGTAATCCCTCATTCTGTAATTTACAGTTTGGCAGTAATGAAGTTCATAAACAGAAAGAGCAGTGCTAAAACACACAGAAAAAGAAGTTCTAAGTTATAATGACCAGTTACAATAAAAAGCAGTTTATGAATTGTTATGATTAATAATAGCTTAATTGAATGCTATTAAATCTGACAAATAATTTTTCAATCTTAACATTTAAATTAATATTCTAACATTATTGCCTGGTTGCATTAGTTTTATAAGAATTGTAATTATTTTATAATAATCAAGCTCTGTAACAATTATTTCAAATTGTTATAACTTTTGTGCAAAGCTAACATGGAAACTCAGCATTCCACACCTAGGTATTTAGCTAAGAGAAATGAAAATAAATGTCCACACTGAAACTTGTACAGGAATGTTTATAGATGCATGAATCATAATAAACAAAAGTTGATCCCAAATATTCATCAAGGAAAGAATGGATGCATATGTTATATGTGCACAGTGGACTGTTACTTACCTACAAAAATAAATGAAGTGCTGATACATACTACAATGTCCATGAACCTTGGAAACACGCTCAGTGAAAGTAGTCAGACACAGAAGGCCACGTATTGTATGAACCTATTCATATCAAATGTTCAGAAAAAGCAAACTTACTGAGGCAGACAGTAAAATAGTGGTTGCCTATCGTGGAGGAAGGAGGGTGGAATGTGAATAAGCAGTGACTGCTGATGAGTTTGAGGTTACATTATGCGGTGATGAAAATGATTTAATGTCAAACACTCGTGAAGATATCACAACTCAGTGAATATATTAAATTGTATGCTTTAATAGAGTAAATTTTGTGGTATGTAAACTATGTTTTAATAAGCTACTATTAGAGAGAGGGCAGAGTATAATGGCAAAATAGAAGGCTCCAATGATTGTCCCCCTTCACAAAGACACCACTATAACAACTATCTACATAAAAATAGCACCTTCATAAGAACCAGAAATCAGGTAAGCACTCACAGTATCTGGTTATAACATCATATTGCTGGAAGAGGCACTAAAAAGGTAGGAAAAACAGCAGTGAATAGCCAATGTCACTCATCACCTATTCCCCTGCAGCAGCAGCATAATGAAGACAGAGTTTTGGTGCATGGGGCGAGAGAGACTGCAGCAATTGTGAGGCATTAAATTCAGTGCAGTGCTGTTAGAGCAGAAAGGAAAACCAGACCCAACTCAGCTGGCAGCCACCCACAGCACTGAAACCAGTGCTAAGCGAGGGGAATTGCCAATTCCAGCAGCCAGAACTTGAGTTTATGTGAGCCTCACTATCAGGAGCTAAAGTGCTCTGGGGCCCTAAAAATATGAAATGCAGGCTAGGCCACAAGGCTGCAAATTTTACATGAGCATTAGTGCTGAACTGGGTCCAGAGACAGTAGACTGGGGATCACATGACCTACTGGGATACCAGTCAGGGTATCTAAGGGAGTGCAGGCATAACCCCTCCCCTAATTCCAGGTTGCACAGCTCCCAGCTCCAAAGGAGACACCTTCCTTTCACTTGAGGAGAGGAGAAGGAAGAGTGGGGAGGACATTATATTGCATCTTGGATACCAGCTCAGCCAAAGTAGGATATAGCGCTGGTCAGAGTCGTGAGGTTCCCATTCAAGACCCTAGCTCCTGGCCAACATTTCTAGACACACCCTGGCCCAGAAATGAACCTGCCACCTTAAAGGGAAGGACCCAGTCCTGGCAGCATTCATCACCTGCTGTCTAAAGAGCCCTTTGACCTGAATGAACAGCAGTGATTTCCAGGTACTATGTTGTGGGCCTTAGGTGAGACTTGGAGACTTGTTGGTTTTAGGTGAGTCTCAGCACATTCTCAGCTGTTGTGGCTACAGGGCGAGGCTCCTTCTGCTTGACAATTGCAGAGGAAAAGGAAAGGATCCTTTTTCTTGGACCTTATGTACCAGCTCGGCCACGGGGTGGTAGAGCAAAAATAAATAAATAAATAAATAAGTAAAATAAAATAGCACTTGAGGTTTCTGATTCCAAGAATTGGCACTTGGATGACATTTCTGGACCTTTCCTGGGCAAAAAGGGAGCCCATCACCCTGAAGGGTGAGTCCCAGGCCAGGCAGAATTCACCACAAGCTGACTTAAGAACACTTGGGCCTTAAGGACACGTTGCTAGTACTCTGGTAGTACTCTCCATTGGCTTCTGGTGGCAGTGGCCACAAGGTGAGGCTCCTCTGCCTTAGGAAGGGGGAAGTACATATGAGAAAGACTGTGTCTTGTAGTTTGAATTCCAGCTTACTCATACTACAATAGAACACCAGGTAGGTGTCTAAGATTTTTGACTCTAGTTCCTAGCTCCCAGATAGCAACTTTGAACCCACAGGGCCTGGGAGAATATGCTGCCCAATAGGAAAAAACACAGGCCTGGCGGGCTTTGCCATGTGCTGATTGTAGAGCACTAGGTCCTTGAGGGATCATATGATGTAGCCAGGGAGTGGTTACAGTGGACCTTGGGTGAGAACCAGTGCTGTGCTGGCTTCAGGTCTGACACCATGCAGTCCTAGTACTGGTGGCCAAAAGGGTACTTGTGTTACTCCACCTCCAGCTTCAGGTTGTTCAGAATGGAGAGAGGGACTCTGATTGTTTGAAGAAAAATAAAGAAAACAAGAGTCTTGGTCTTGTAAGCCAGAGAATACTTCAGATCTTATCCAAGACAATCAAAGTTGTACTTCTATGAGTCTGTAAGAACCACTGTATTAATGGACCTGGAATGCCCCCTAAAGCAGATACAGCTTAGATCACAATATGCAAGTCCTTTCAAATATCTGGAAAGCCTTCCTAAGAAGGACTGGGGCAGACAAACCCACACAGTGATGACTACAATAAATACTTAACTCTTCAATGCCCAGACACAGACTAACATCTGCAAGAATCAAGACCATCCAGGAAAACATGACATCACCAAATAAACTAAGTCACCAGGGACCAATCCTTGAGAAACAGAGATATGTGACTTTTTGGATGGAGAATTCAAAATAGCTGTTTTGATGAAACTCAAAAAAATTCAATATAACACAGAGAAGGAAAGATAAGTTTAATAAATAGATTGAAATAATTACAAAGAAGAAGACATTTTGGAGCTGAAAATTCAATAGACATAATGCAGAATGCATCAGAGTGTTTTAATAGCAAAATGTATCAAGCAGAAGAATTAGTGGGCTTGAAAATACACAGAGGAGAAAAAAAGAAAAAAGAATAAAAATCAATGAAGCATGGATATAGAATCTAGAAAATCAATGAAAAGCAAATATCCAGGAGTTTTTTACCTTAAAAAATAAGTAGAGAAAGAGATAGTGGTAGAAAGTTTTTTCAAAGGAATAATAATAGAGAACATTCTAAACCTACAGAAAGATAGCAATATCCAAGTTCAAGAGCGTTATAAAACACCAGGAAGATTTAACCCAAAGAAGACCTTAAGGCATTTAATAATCAAACTCCTAAAGGTCAAGCATAAAGAATGGATCCTAAAAGCAGCAAGAGAAAATAAGCAACTAACATACAGTGGAGCTCCAATACGTCTGGCAGCAGGATTTTCAGTGAAAATCTTACAGGCCAGGTGAGAATGGCATGACATATTTAAAGTGCTAAAGAAAACAAAACAACAACAAAAAACCCTTTTACCTTAGAATAGTATATCTGGTGAAAAATATCCTTCAAAAATGAAGGAGAAATAAATATATTACCAGATTAAAAAAAAGGATTTCATCAACACCAGACCTTTTCTACAAGAAATGCTAAGGGAAGTATTTTGATCAGAAAGAAAATAACATTAATGAACAATTAGAGATCACCTGAAGATACAAAACTCACTGGTAACAGTACATGGGAAAAATAAAATATTATAATACTGTAACTGTAGTGTGTAACATACCATTATCCTAAGTAAAAAAAAAAAAAACTAAACAAAGAATGAATCAAAAACAATATCTATGACAACTTTTCAAGACATAGTATAATAAGATATAAATAGAAACAACAACAAGTTAAGTGGAAAAATAAAGTTAATGCATAGAGTTTTAATTACTTTTTTTGGCTTGCTTGTTTGTTTATGCAAACAGTGTTAGGTTGTTATCAGGTTAAAATAATGGGTGTTAAGATAGTATTTGCAAGTCTCATGGGAACCTCAAACTAAACACCATATAATGTATTCACAAAAATTAAAAAGCGAGAAACTAAATCATATCGCCACTTGAAATCATGTTCAGTAAAAGGAAGGCTGGATGGAAAGAAAGAAAGAAGACCACAAAACAATCAGAATCAAAAAACAAATTGACAGGAGTAAGTCCTTAGTTATCAATAATAGCATTTAATGTAAATAGACTAAACTCTTTAATCAAAAGACATAGATTGGCTGAAAGCATACAAAAACAAGACCCAATGACTTGTTGCAAACAAGAAACACACTTCACCTCTAAAAACACATGTAGACTGAAAATACCTATCAAAATATCAATGACATTCTTCATAAAAACAGAAAAAAAAATCAAATAATTATATGCAACCACAAAAGATCCAGAATAGCCAACGCTATCCTGAGCAAAAAGAACAAAACTGGAGGAATAATTACCTGATTTCAAATTAAACTACAGAGCTATAGTAACCAAAACAGCATGGTACTGGCATAAAAACAGACACATATGCCAATGGAACAGAATAGAGGACCCAGAAACAAACCCACACACCTACAGTGAACTCATTTTTTGATAAAGGTGCCAAGAACATTCACTGGGGAAAACACAGTCCCTTCAATATATGATGCTCACAAAACTGGACATTCACATGCAGAAGAATGAACCTAGACCCCTATTCTTTGCCATATATAAAACATAAACAATGGATTAAAGAATTAAATGTAAGACCTCAAACTATGAAACTATTATAGAAAAACTTTGGGGAATCTTTCCTGGACTTTGATCTGGGTAAAATTACAAGAGTAATACCCCACAAACACAGGCAACCAAAGCAAAATAGACAAACGGGATCACATCAAGTTAAAAAGCTTCTGAACAGCAAAGGAAACAATGAACAAAGTGATGAGACAACCCACAGAATGGGAGAAAATATTTGTCAACTACCCATCTGACAAGGGATTAATAACTGGAACTTGTAAGCAACAGAAATGACTCTATGGAATAAAAATATAATAATACTATCAAAAACTGGGCAAATAATTTGAATAGACATTTATCAAGAGAATACTTTCCAGTGGCAAACAAGCATACACAAAGGTGCTCAACATCATTGATTATCAGAGAAATGCGAATAAAAACTAAAATGAGATACTATTTCACCCCAGTTAAAATGGCTTTTCTCCAAAAGTCAGGCAATAATAAATACTGGCAAAGATACGGTGACAAGGGAACCCTTGTACACTGTTGGTGGGAATGCAAATTAGTATGATCACTATGGGGAACAGTTTAGAGGTTCCTCAAAAAAACTAAAAGTATGATCCAACAATCCCACTGCTGGGTATATAGTAAAAAGAAAGGAAATCAGTGTCCCAAAGACATATCTGCACGCTCATGTTTGTTGCAGCACTGTTCACAATAGCCAAGATTTGGAAGCAACCTAAGTGTCCATCAACAGCTGAATGGATAGAGAAAATGTTGTATGTTTACACCATGGAGTACTATTTAGCCATAAAAAACAATGAGCTCCTGTCATTTGCAACCACATGGTTGGAACTGGAGATCATTATGTTACATGAAATAAGCCAGGCACAAGAAGACAAACATTCCATGTTCTCACTTATTTGTGTGATCTAAACATTAAAACAATTAAACCCATGGAGTCAGACAGTAGAAGGATGGTTACCAGAGGCTGGAAAGAGTAGTATGGGTTTGAGGGGAAGGTGGAATGGTTAATTGTCACAAAAATCTTAGTTAGAAATAATGAATAAGACTTACTATTGTATAGCGCAACAAGGTGACTATTGTCAATATTTTGATTTTATATTTTACTCTAACAGGGTAGAATTGGATTGTTTGTAACACCAATAATAAATACTTGAGGGGATGAACACCCCATCTCCCATGATGTGATTAGTATGCATTGCATGCCTGTATCAAAGCATCTCATGTACCCATAAATATATACACCAACTATGTACCCACAAAAATTTAAAATAAGTAAAGCTACTATTATTAAAAAATGCAGCACATAAATTAGACCGTCACTTGAAACCACCTTCCAAATAAGTCCCATCTTATTTTTGTCCTACTCTTTAAAAAATATAGCCTTTTCACAATATGACTTCTTGTGAAAAGAAAAGGAGGTAAAGGAATAAGCATTTTTTATTATTTTTCTGTCATTGCAAGTGGCTTTTGAACGGTTTATTAAAGGTCAAAGAAGCACAGTATTTTTGGAAATATTTTTGAAATACTTGAAATCTCAAACAATAAGTGTTTATTGTATAAGCAGACAGGCACAGATGGATGTAAAAAGTGCCCTTGCAATGCCAACTCGATATCTGAAAATTTGTCTCTAAAATAGAGTGATTTATTTTATTTTATGTTATTTTATTTTTCTTTTGTTTAGTCCTTTCCCCAACTAGAAAGCACTGTGAGAGCCATTTAGTAATTTGTGTTGTGGTTGAGCTTGTGAGGGCCAAAATAAAATGAGAAATGCTGACATAATGACATTCAGTTTCATCAAGCTCCTGGAGACCCAGACTAGTGTATCAGATCAGACAGTTCAAAAGTGTGATATCCATCTTTCTCCTCCGAAGAAATCACATTTCTTTAGCTCTTTTGAAGAATTCAAGGGATGAAAAGACAGAATATGCCTGACTATAGCAGCAGAAATGCTAACAGCTCAAAAAGGCTGCTTTTAATAGAATGGCAAATTATACTTCCTAGTTTACACAGCACACTCACAGGCATTATCTTATTTGAGCCTCTAGACAAACCTTGATTTAGGTAGAATTTGTGCCCTTATCTCTATTGTGCAGATGGGAAATTAACCTCAGTGGTTGAAACTCACTTAAGTCCCATATCTTACATATGTCATAGCCAGAAATTGAACTTCCATTTCTGATTACTCCTCAGGGATATTTTTTTCATTGTATGCTGCTGCCAGCATCAACCAGGTGCCTGTTGAATAAGGCCTCCAGAACCCATTTTGACTTGTAAGGAAGCTGCTTCCCATCTATTGTGGATGCTTGATCAGGTCCTGATAGTTCACTAATGCCATCAGGCTCAAATCATCCCAACTCCAACTTTGATCTCTTTGCATAGCCTATCATTTCTTCAAATATTTATTGTGTTTTACATAATCACTTTTACAATTGCTACCTCATGTCTACTTAGTATTTCTATCTTATTGCATCCCTACTCTTCCCATGGGAAGTGCCAAAGCAAAGTTGTCAAAAGCATTGCCTTTGGAGTCAAATAGAACACATCTTACAATCCGGTTTTGTCACTTGCTAGCTTTGTGAACTTGCATACATTACTTAACCTAGTTGGGGCTCAGTTTTCTGTGTAACACAGAGATAATAACCAAACCCATCTCAAATGTTGTAACATTTAAATGTAGGGTCGTGATAAAGTTTATCATCCATATAACCGTGGCAGGACCGCAGGTATAAATGGGAATGCTGTGAGCAGCAAGGACATATAGTTACTCTACATACATAAAATAATTCTTGGAAGGGAAGTAGCACACTAGCTGGCTCATAGCAAGTCCTTTGCTCTTGATGTTCTCTCCGACTGGGACACTCTTTCTCACTCTTCCCTTGGTTGTCTTTTTCTCATGCTTCATGCCTGAGTTTAAATGTAACCTCTTCTGAGCAGCTTTCCCTGACCACTTTATCTAGGTCATTGTATTTTCTTTCATAGAATTTACTGCACTTTAAACTTATGCATGTATTTCTGCACTTTGGTGGCTTATCTTTTCTACTGGGAGGTCCATTAAGGCAGAGACCGCATCTTTTTCATTCACCAATGTATTCCTAGAAGCTAGCTTTATCCTTAGTACACAGCAGGTATTAAAACAATTTATAGAATGGATTAACAAATGCATGGATGTTAATTTTCTTTTCCTATACTAATGTTTCTAAATTGGGAAGATTTTGCCCCACAGGGAACAGTTTGCAAAGTCCGGAGACTTTTTTTGGATGTCACAACTGGGGTGGGTGGAGTTGCTACTGGCATTTATGTGTAGAAGCCGAGGATGCTGCCAAACATCCTGCAAAGCACAGTAGTGCTCCCTACAACAGAAAATTATCTGACCCATAATGTCAATGGTGCTTTAAGGAATCCTGTTCTATACATACATATATGAGGGATTTTATTGTCCTGAGTGGGTGCAAAATTAATGGCAGTACTGGAAAAGGTAGCTGCATCTTAATCTTAAGTATCCATATCATTAAAAAGGTGAAATATTATCAATTAGGCTTATTTTGTATCTCAAAAATTTGGCAGTAGATGGCACTAGAAGACACCACAGTTTACTCTCAAATTCTTTATAGATGAGTCTCCTTTATGATTTATAATTTATCATAGTTAAATTTACCTCCTTCCTACACATATTTATTTCTCTACTAATCTAGATATATGAAAATTGCCTAGTAGTATTTCTGCCATTCGGCTCAACAAACATGAAGCCAGTGGCTAATATGCATAAGGCACTCTTCTGTGTATGGAGATAAGACACAGGCATTTTCCTTCATGAGTTTATGCTTCATGACTTATTCCTTGGGGTTAGCATCTTATTCCTGCACTTGATGAGCATCACCTGTAGCAATTCATTATTATTCAGTATTTCCAAAGTCCTAGGTAGGAATGTCTCTAGAGCATAATGATGCTTGGCATTAATACGCATGAATGAAGAGGAAGTGCAATTTGGCCTCCCAGATCATTTGTAAGACTTATCCGACATCTAGAGTTTCGGTTCCTATAAAATGAATATCCACGTTCTTTTCTGATAGTAACAAACAATATTAATACATCTATGCTTCAGTTTTGTTAAAGCGCAAAGAATCACAGAACACATTTCAAGTGTTATGGATGACTTTTGCTGTGGGAAATCTATCAGACTATTTCTTCAAATTACAGTTATCAGGCACTACTTGTGTGTCAGGTATTGTACTATGCACTGAGGATAAGAAGATTAACGAAACACAATTTCTGCACTGTGTTGATTCTATCTCAGGTATTTTCACTTCTCTCACAGCCACCTCTACTAGCCCACTCCAAACCACCATTATCTCTTTCTTGGACTATTGCAGCAGCCTTCTAACTAGACTTTTTTCTTCCACATTCTTAATGTTAATTTCCTGAATGGTCCTTGTAGAACAGAAGTTAGATTTTGCCAGGCATTAACTGGCTTTCCATCGCAATTAGAATAAAATGTAACCATACATGATCAAGCTCATCTCAAACTGTCTGATCTCCTCTCCTATACGTCTTTTCCTTGTTTACTTTGCTGCAGTCACATTGGACTCAATACTATTCCCTGGACAAATTGAGTGCATTGCCACCTCGGGGCCTTTGTACTTTCAACTTCCTTAGTGTAGAATGCTCTTCCTCTCTTATACCCAAGTTTTATACAGCCTTTTTTTTTGTCAAATTTTAGCTCTCAACCAGGCTTTCTTTTTTAGTACCTCCTGTTTCTCCCTATTTCTTATTTTGCTTTATTTTCCTCAGAGGTTATGGATGAATTGTTCATTTTAGGGTGATATGTCATTTTTAAACCATATTCATATACTTTTTTCAGAAAAAGAAGCAAAAGTGTATGTCAAATATTCTAGCATGCATTTTCTCAGTGGTTTATTGTCTATCATACCACTATGATAAAACTTCCATGAAAGCAGAAAACTTCTGTCATTTTCATAACAACTGTTTACTTATGCCAAGAACACTTTCTGGAACATGGCAGGTACTTAATAAATGTTGAAGAAATTATTTTTCCAGGATTTCATTTGATGTGTAAAAATCCATATTGGAAATCAGTAAATTTTAAAACGGGTGTTTCATTGGTAATTTGATGATGTAATGAATATATATGTAATTTATTTTTCCTAAGAAATTAATTAATTATAAGCATTAAAACTAGAAGTTATTTGATTCATTGGCAGCAGCAGTTATAAAATTTGAGTTTCTAATTCGGGCTCTGTAAATATATATGACCTTGAGCCAGTCATTTCACTTTTTAAAATTTGTTTCCTCATATGGATAGTGAATGATTAATTCTCACCCTCTGTATCTCATGCAGATTTGATGTTTAAATTATATAATTGTTGTGAAAATCCTGATAGACTATATTATCTCATATGTTTAAGTGTGGAATTCTATATATTTTTTTTGTTTTGGGAAATTAGAGAGTCCTTCAGTTCAACTGATTGTTAATTTTCACGATATACAAATCCAACAAAAAGTTGCAGTGTGGTTATATTTTGGAAGACCTTTATGTGTTTTTTAAATCTCTAGTATTGATTTAGTGATATGCACAAAAAATCGAGAAATCAAGGAGAATGAAAGGTAAGGACACTAGAACACTAAACAAGTGGACCAAATCATCAAATTTCAATTTGAAAATCAAAATAAAATGTCAAGGATGTGTAAAAACGTAAACAAAAAATACTTTGTGTACTGGTTTCCTTTATGGTTGCATTCAACTACTTTGCAGATTTTGTAGTGGTAAAATGAATTGAAATATTCAAATTGAAGACTTATATTGGAACTAACATAAACCAACAGAAAGGGTGAATTAAACACAGAACGCTGTCAACTGGTTCAGGTAGAGAAAAATCAAAAAAGTTTCTGGATTTTAATGGTTGTTTGAATTGACTAAACATTCAGTTCAACTTTTCAATAAGCAGTTGAATATATTAAGAAAAGAAGAAAAATATCATTGTAGCAATAAGGTAGAACAAGTTTGTTCTACAATGAGGTTATTAGATCAGGTATAATATTAGTATGACACACTTAATTTTCTTTTGAAGGAGATCTGAACAACTATCTTATAAAAATGAAAGGATTATTGCTTATTTGAAATTTTCAAAGTCTGAAAAATACATTTATTGAAAACCCCATAATTATTTAAGTATCTGCCAATATCTAAGTATATCCACTTGTGTAGATTGTAGCCAAATACCTTTCTACATATAATATAAAATATGCTTCCTACTTCCATATTTATTGCAGCACTATACAAAATAGCCAAGATAGAGATGGAATCAACCTAAGAGTCCATCAACTGATGAATGGATAAAGAAAATGTGTGTAAATGCCTGTTACCCCCTGCTCCCTGTGTGGATTCTTTTTTTTTTTAATTATACTTTAAGTTTTAGGGTACATGTGCACAACGTGCAGGTTTGTTACATATGTATACATGTGCCATGTTGGTGTGCTGCACCCATTAACTCTTCATTTAACATTAGGTATATCTCCTAATGCTATCCCTCCACCCTCCCCCCACCCCACAACAGGCCCTGGTGTATGATGTTCCCCTTCCCGTGTCCATGTGTTTTCATTGTTCAATTGCCACCTATGAGTGAGAACATGCAGTGTTTGGTTTTTTGTCCTTGCGATAGTTTGCTGAGAATGATGGTTTCCAGCTTCATCCATGTCCCTACAAAGGACATGAACTCACCATTTTTTATGGCTGCATAGGATTCTTTTGTGCAGCAAAGGCAGCTGTGCTGTTTCCTGGAACATTACCCTGGTGGTCAGGGAACTGCCCTTTAACCCCCAGTGTGGCTGCTGCTTGCACCTGCACATGGGGAGCCAGAGTGTGGACTTACCTGACCAAGCCCCCACCAGCTTTGTGCTTCAACCTGCACTGGTGGCATAACAGAATGGACAGAGACAGGATCATATGGGTGTTCCATGGCCCTGTCCAATGCCTGAGGCATAAGAATGCCTCCCTTGGGCAACTTAACGCAAGCACAAATTCCACTGCTACCACCACATTTCATGCTTTTTTACAAGCATCACCTTCTGGCTGGAGGCCAACTGGAAAAGCCTATTACAACATCTGCAGACACAATAACACAGCACTCAGGAAGGAAAAAAAAAAAAAAAAACTTTTGTGCAACCTCAGCTATCACCATTGCCCTAGCAACAGCCTGGAGTGTGGCAGACCCACTGGGCCACTAGACATGGAGGAGCAGCAGGATTCACAGTAGTCTGTCCTTCGGAGACTGCTACTCCTAGGGGAAGGCAGAGTATACCACATTAATGGGTAACCCTGTGGTGGTTGGTGGGGTGGGGAACAAAAAACAAAAACAGACTGCAGGTCTTGAGTCCCTGAAGTCTCTACCCGTGGGAAGTTTCATTCAGCAGAGGTGCAGGTGCAGTACTGGGCTCAGTGAGGAAAGTCACCAGCACTACCCCAACAGTCAGGCACCCCCGGTGCTCATGAAGGGTCTTGGAGAAGTAAACTTCTCCTCATCCACCACTGCAGACACAACTGGGCCTGCTCCCACAGGAACTTAGCATGGGTGCATTTGTAGACAGCCTTTCTTGAATACTTTCAGGTGGCACTCCGCAGGAGGAGTGCCCTCTAGGTTCAGGCTTGCAGAAGAGCTAGAGTCACAATCACTCTCCACGTGGAATGACAGCGTTCATCCAGATGGAAACAGGCTCCTGTCTGATCTGAATAGCCAGAATACTGGGTCAGGAGTGTGACTGGGAGGCAGATTGCTTTCCAGCTGGCCTGGAAGGAGAGCTGTGTTGGCTGCCTCTTTTCCCCCTGAAAAGACTTCACTCAGTACATTTCACTGAGAGCTTCCCCAGCTGTCTCTGTCAAGCCTGGGAGCTCTGCCTACTATTTGGGCGTTGCATTTGGCCACAGCAGGATTTTTACCTGTGGGCACCTCCTAATGGTCTGAATCCTGAAATGTTCCACCCAATGAAGAAAATAATGGAGAAATTTTTTAAGTGGGAATGAGATTAAAGTTCATGAGACTTCTGCCATTCCAGCCTCACAGGAGACAGGTAATCTGCTCAAACAGCCATCACATCACTACTACAACCAGCATCTGAGAAAACCATTGTTCAAAGATTCTCTATAAGCAAGGGACTTATACAAATTTTCACCACTAAAAGCATCCAGAGCCAAAACTAGGTGACAATAAACTATAAACATTAAAGTCACATCCTCAAGGTGAGAAAAAAATATGAACAAAAACAATTGAATCAAAAAATACAAAAGTAATTAGAAGAAACAGTCTACACAAATGAGGAGGAACTAGAAAAATAATTATGTCTATATGAAAAAACTAGGTCCTATTTTTTTGTTTTGTTTTGTTTTTGTTTTTTGAGATGGAGTTTGGTTCTTGTTGCCCAGGCTGGAGTGCAATGGTGCGGTCTTGGTTCACTGCAACCTCTGCCTCCTGGTTTCAAGTGATTCTCCTGCCTCAGCCTCCCAAGTAGCTGGGATTACAGGCATGCGCCACCATGCCCAGATAATTTTTTTTTATTATTTTTATTAGAGACAAGGTTTCACCATGTTGGCCAGGGTGGTCTCAAACTCCTGACCTCAGGTGATCCACCTGCCACGGCCTCCCAAAGTGCTGAGATTACAGGCATGAGCCACTGCGCCCAGCCAAAACTGGGTCCTATTATACCCCCAAAAGATCACAGTAACAAGCAGTGGATCCAAACCTAGATAAAATCAATGAAGTAACACATAAAGAATTCAAACGGTTGATTAGGAAGCTACTCAAGGAGATACAAGAGAAGGGTGAAAAATCAACATAAAGTACCCTAAAGCTTAAAGTGTAATAAAAAATAAAAATTCACCTTAAAAAAATAAAAAAAAGAAATAAAATCAGGATATAAATGAAAGGTTTTTTAACTTTTAGAAGATATACATATTTTAATAAAAGATATTTTAAATATTTTAATATTTTAAAAATAGATATTTTAAATAAAAACACAATGGAAATGAAAGACACACTTAGAGAACTAAAAACTCCAGTGGAATATTGTAATGATAGACTAGACCAAGTAGAAGAAAGAATTTCAGAGCTTGAAAACAAGGATTTCAAATTATCCCTATCAGACAAAAATTTTTAAAAAGACTTAAATAACAAAGTCTCCAAGAAATATGGGATTATGTAAAACGGCCAAACCTAAGAAAGATAGGTGTTCCTAAAGAAGTAGAAAAAAAAATTGAAAAACCTATTTGAGGGAATAATTGAAGAAAACTCTCCAGCCTTGCTAAAGATTTATGCATCCAAATACAAGAAGCTCAAAGAACTCCTGGAGACTCCATTGTAAAGAGAACATCACCAAGGCATATATTCATCAGGCTATATAAGGTCAACATGAAGGAAGGAATTCTAAGAGCACTGAGACAAAAGCACCAGGTAACCTATAAAGGAAAACCTATCAGATTAACGACAGACTTCTTAGTAGAAACCTTACAAGCCAGAAAGGATTAGGGTCCTATCTTTAGTCTCTTTAATCAGAATAACTTTCAGCCAAGAATTTTGTAACCAGCAAAACTAAGTTTCACAAATGAAAGAAAAATAAAGTCTTTCTTAGAAAAGCAAATGCTGAAAAAAGTTGTTAATATTTGACCAGGCATACAAGACATGCTAAAAGAAATACTAAACTTTGAAACAAAACATGCACCAGAATAGAAACTCCTGAAAGCATAAAATGTATAAGGGCTTATAAAAAAATAATGCGATGAAGAAAACAAAATCACTAGGTACAGTCAACATGAAGACTGGAAGATTGCCTCACATCTCAACACTAACATTGAGTGTAAATTGTCTAAATGCTCCACTTAAAAGCTACAGATTTGCAGAATCACACATATCTGCTGTCTTCAGGAGATACAATTATCTCATAAATATTCTTATAGACTCAAAATAAAGGGATGAAGAAAGATATTTAATGCACATGGAAACCAAAAATAAGCAGGATTAGCAATTCTCAGATCAAAAATATTTGAAAGCTACTACAGTAAATAAAAAGAAGACAAATAATTTCATTATGTAATGATAAAAGGATCAATTAAACAAGAAGATATAACAATCATAATGTATAAGCACCTAACACTGAAGCTCTCATATTCATAAAGCAATTACTGCTAGACCTAGGAAAAGAGCTAGCAACACAACGATAGTGGGAAACTTCAACATTCCGTTGACAGCATTAAACAGATCATTAAGGTAGAAACAAACAAACAAACAAACAAAAAACACTGGACTTAAACTGCACTCTAGAACAAATGGACCTAACAGAAATTTACAGAATATTCTACCCAAGAACTTCAGAATACACATTCTTCTCATCAGCACTTGGAACATTCTCCAAGATAGACCATATAGTATGCCAGCAAACAAGTCTCAATGAATTTTAAAAAATCAAAATCATATGAAATATCTTCTCAGATCAGAGCAAAATAATACTAGAAATCAATTCCAAAAGGAATTCCTAAAACTATATAAATTCATGGAAATTAAACGATCTGCTGCTGAATGATTTTTGGGTCAACAAGAAAGTTAAAATGAAGAAATAAAAATTTTCAAAATGAATGACAACAGTGACAAAAGTTATCAAATTTTCTGGGTTATAACAAAAGCAGTGCTAAGACGAATGTTTATAGTTCTAAATGCCTATATGAGAATGTCTGAAAGATCAAAAATTGACAACCTAATATCACACCCCAAGGAACTACAGACACAAGAACAAGCCAAACTGAAAGTTAGCAGAAGAAAGGAAATAACAAAGATCAGAGCAAAGGTAAAAGAAATTGAAACAAATAAAGCAATACAAAAGATCAATGAAATAAAAAGTAGGTTCTTTGAAAAGATGAACAGAATTGATAGGCCACTAGCTTAATTAAGCAAGAAAAGGAGATAAGATTCCAATAAACTCAAATAGAAATACCACAGTAGACATTATAACTGACACTACAGAAATACTAAAGATCATCTGAGACTACTGTGAACACCTTGTATGCACAAAAACTAGAAAATCTAGAGAAAATTAATGCTTTCCTGTAAATACTCAACCCTGCCAGAAAGAATCAGGAAGAAATATAAATTCTGAATAGACAAATAACAAGCAGTGGGATTTAATCAATCAGAATAATCATAATAAAAGTGCCAACAAACAAAGCTCAGGACCAGATGGAATCACAGCCACATTAGACCAGATATTCAAAGAATAAGTACCAATTCTGCTGAAACTATTCCAAAAGATTGAGAATAAGGACATCCTCCCTAACTCTATGAAGCTAATATTACCCTGATGCCAAAGCCAGGAAAGGACATAATAAAAAAAGGAAACTACAGATCAATATCCCTGACGAATATAGATGAAACAAATTCTCAACAAAATACTAGCAATTCAAATTCAACAACACATAAAAAAAAATCACCATGATCAAGTAGGTTTCATTCCAGGGATGCAGGGATGATTTGACATACACAAGTTAATAAATGTGATTCATCACATAAACAGAATTGAAAACAAAAACCGTATGATCATCTCATAGATGCAGAAAAATCATTCAGTAAAATCTTGCATACCATTATAATGAAAACCTTCAACAAAATAGGCATAGACAGGACACACCTCAAAATAATAAAAACCATATATGACAAACCCACAGCAAACATCATACTGAACAGGGAAAAATTGAAAGCATTTCCCCCAGTAACTGGAACAAGACAAGTATGCTCACTTTTGCCACTTCTTTTCATCATAGTACTGGAGATTCTAGCCAGAGAAATCAGGCCAAGGGAAAGAAATAAAGGATATCCAAATTGAAAAAATGACTTCAAACTATCTGTTTGCCAATGATATAAAATTCTACCTAGAAAAACCCCACAGTCTCCTCCAGAATACTCCTAGATCTGATAAAGGATTTTAGTAGTCTCAGGTTACAAAATCAATGTACATAAATCAGCACTGCTATACACCAACAACAACCAAGGTGATAATCAAATTAAAAACCCAATCCCTTTTACTATTGTTACAAAAAAGAAAACCTAGGAATATATTTAACCAATAAGGTGACAGATCTCTACAAGGAGAACTACAAAACTTTGTTGAAAGGAATCATGGATGACTCAAATGGAAATACATCCCATGTTCATGGATTGGAAGAATAAAATAAAAAAATACGACAGTGCCCAAAGCAGACTACAGATTCAGTGCAATTCCTATCAAAATATAAATGTCATTTTTCACAAAATTAGAAAAAACAATCCTAAAATTCTTATGGAACTAAAAATGAGCCCAAATAGCCAAAGCATTTCTAAGCAAAAGGAATAAATCTAGAGGCATTACATCACCTGACTTCAAATTATAGTACAAGGCTATTGTAACCAAAACAACATGGTACTGGTATAAAAGTAGATACATAGACCAATGAAACTGAATAGAGAAACAAGGAATAAAGCCAAATACTTAAAATTAATGAATCACTGACAAGACATACCTAAACATAAACTGGGGAAAAGACATCCTTTTCAATAAATGGTGCTGGGAAATTGAATAGCCACATGTGGAAGAATGAAACTGGATCCCTATCTCTCAACATGTACAAAAATTAATTCAAGATAAAGATTTAAATCAAACACCCAAAACCATAAAATTCTAGAGAAAAACACAGGGACAACTCTTCTGGACATGGATCTAGGCAAATAATTAATGACTAAGACCCCCAAAAGCAAATGCAGCAAAAATTTAAAAATGGGACCTAATTAAACTAAAAAGCTTCTGCACAGCAAAAGATATATCATCAGAGTAAACAGACAACTTAGAGAATTGGGGAAATATTTGCAAATTATGCATCTGACAAATGACTAACATCCATAATCCACAAGGATCTCAAGGAAATCAGTAAGAAGAAAACCAAAATACTTCTATTAAAAGTGGAAGAAGACATGAATAGACATTTCTCAAAAGGAGATACACAATTGGCCGACAAACATATTTTTAAGATGCTCAAAATCCATAATCATTAGGGAATTGCAAATTAAAACTACAATGAGATGCCACCTTACCCCAGCCAGAATGGCCATTATTAAAAAGTCAAGAAACAATAGATGTTGGCACGGATTCAGTGAAAAAGGAACACTTTTCCACTTCCAGTGAGAATGTAAATTAGTACAACCTCTATGGAAACCAATATGGAGATTTCTCAAAGAACTATAATTGGATCTACCATTCAATCCAGCAATCCCAGTACTGGGTATCCAATTAAAGGAACATAAGTTACTATAGCAAAAAGACATCTGCAAGTGTGTGTTTATCACAGCAAAATTCACAACTGCAGATTGCATTCAACCTAAGTGCCAATCAACCAATAAGTGGGTAAAGAAAATGTGATATATATACACTGTGGAACACTACTCAGCCATAAAAAAACGAATGGAATAATGTCTTTTCCAGCAACTTAGATGGAAATGAGGGGCATTATTCTAAGTGAAGAAACTCAGAAATTGAAAACCAAATACTGCGTATTCTCACTTGTAAGTGGGAGCTGAGCTATGAATATGAAAAGAAATACAGAGTAGTATTGACGATAAATTTGAGACTCAGAAGGGGGAAAGGTTGTAGGTTGAGGGAGGGTTGACAAACTACCTATTGGGTAGAATGTACAATTCTCAGGTGATAGGTTCACTAAAATCCTAGACTTCACCACTATACAATTCATTCATGTGACCAAAAACCACGTGTACCGCTAAATTTATTAAAATAAAATATTTTTAAAAGAATGGAAAAAATACAATGGTGTATATACAAAATGAATTACTATTCAGCCATTAAAATAGTAGGAAATCCTGTAATTTGCAACAACATAGATGAGCATGGAGAACATTATGTTCAGTAACATAAGACAAGCTCAGAAGGTCAAATACCACATGTTCTCACTCATATGTGGAATCTAAAATAGTTAATCTCATAGAAGTAGAGAGTAGAATGGTGGTTCCCAGAAGCTGAGGTGGTTAGAAGGAAGGAGGAGTTGAGAGGGTGTTCATCAAAGGATACATAATTCGTCAGATAGGAAAAATAAGTGCAAGGGCTCCATTGTATAGCACAATGACTATAGTTAATGATGATATCATGTATTATCGAAATATGCCAAAAGAGAGGATATTAAGTGTTCTCACCACAAAAATTACAAATATGTGAGATAATGCAGTTGTTAATTAGCTAGATTTCACCATTCCACAATGTATATATACTTCAAAACATGCTGTACATAATACATATATAGAATTTTATGTCAATTTGAAAAAATTAAATAAAATATGATGCCTGCAGATTTTTCCACTGGAAAATCGGACTCCTCACCTATTTTGTATAATGTATGGTTCACATAATCTCTAAATCAATCCACACAGAATGGATATTTTAGCCTGTTGTTATAGAAAAGAAAATTCTTCAAGATTAAGTGATTTATCAATTGTCATAAAACAAATTAAGTGGCATACAACTAGCAATTCAGGACTCCCTTCATTAGCCCACACAACTTACCCCTCCACTACAGTCCCAATATGTCAATTTTGTGCCATCTCTCAGCAGCACTTATATCAACATAGTGCACTTGGGGAACAAGTCAGTTAAACACTGGCTCCATCCTCAAAAACTTGAGCATGTGTGGGGGATAGATGAGATTAATATAGCAATGAGATGAAATGAATCAGTAAGTGGTTTCTCATGATGTAGGGAAGGCATTTGGGAGGAAATAAATTTAATTCTACTTTGGAATATACAAGGAGCTTCAATAAAGTGAATTTAAAGATGGAAGTATAAATTAAATATGAACAGAAGGAAGAAGAATGATGATAAATGAAGGCTTCGCAGTGTTTCCTAGAGCTTTGACCCAGAGTTCCATCTGTACAGAAGCAAATGCCAAAAGTACAAGAAAAAATAGTCATTTTTCAATAGCCACGTGGCTATTTTTTTCATGTAAAATAAATAAAAAACTACCAAAAATCTCTCTACTGTGTACCTTGTATCAGGCACTATCCTAGTTTATTTTTTTAATTAATATATAGTAGTTGTTCTAGTTGCATTTGTTTCATTAGCTCATTTGATTCTTGTGACAGTGATATGATATCAGTGACATAATCTCTTTTGAAAACACAGGAGTCTGAGGTATAAAGAACTTACATTTTTTTGTCCAAAGTTGCACAATAAATAAGTGGCAGAACGTATATTTTAATCTAGATCTATCTGCTTTAAAAGTTCATATTTTTTTCTACTAAGATATATTGCATTCCTATTTTGTTGTTATACTGTTAAGTAATATCCCCAGCAATATTATTAGTCACGTGGTAAAATCTCACTGGCGACTAGGTAAATGGAAATTATTTTTTGAAAACTTTGCATATATGTTTGAACATGTCAAGTTTACTCAACAAAGGTCTTTGTTTTGTCTCAACAATTTTTTGGCAAATCATTTCCTATCAATACAAATGTATATTGATCTGTTAAGACCGTTTTAAATAAGTTGCTCATTTGTCCAAACATAAATTTTGCTTGGAAAATGCAAGTGTAGAGACAGCTTCAGTATGAATTATGAAGTTTGGTGTGTTCAAATAAGATTAATAGTGGCGGGACTTGGAATTAATGCCATATTTCTTTCCAGAAAAGCTTTCGTAAGTTTAGTTATGATACCATTTGAAGTCAGTTTAGTCAGTTGGGAATTTTAATTAAATTCTGGGCACCATTCTGAGGCCATTTTTTTCCAAGTGGCCATAGAAAATTGGGAATGTGTACATGAGCACTATTCATGCACATAAATCATTGCCAATGGGAAGGTTCAGAAGGTAGAATATTGGCTCAAAGTGATGTTTGTAGAAACTTCAAGCCAACTTAACCATCACATTGGTTTCCATTTCTTCTAAAATAATATTTGAAATTCTCATTTTGTGTCTGGAAAGCTACCTTATTATTTTTAACCATACCTTTCCTGTAAATTCATTATTTGGAACATTGGAACATTAGTGAGTGCTCCCTATTCCCAAAGTTTGTCAAAATTATTAACTTTCTTTAATAGTCATAATTATGTATTTTAATCTTATTTTTAAAGTATATTTCTCCCTGCATAACATCTCTCCTCTTTAAACATATTTACCAATCTCTTGGTATGGTGGACTAAGATGTAATTGGTGATGAAGCCATATAAAAAATGATGAGCCTCTAATTCAGTGTTTATTTTTGGTAGTTCTCTTCAACCTTATGACACTGCTGATGAAACTGTTTGAAAACAACTTGTTTGAGAACAACTGCTTGTTGTTCTCAAGTCAAAACTTCAAAATTTTCTATTTTAAATAAACTCAAAACTGTCCTTATAAAAACGAACTTTAAGTTTGGGGAGATGGTTGTGAAAATTAAGAATGAATATCTCACCTAGGTTTATCTGTGTGTTCCTGTAAACCTGGCTACTGGGGAGGCTGAGATGGGAGAACCCATTGAGTTCAGGAGTTCAAGACCAGCCTGTGCAATATAGCAAAACCTCCCTGCTCTCCACCCCACTCCCACCCGCTGCTTCTGAAAAATAAAAATAAATGGACGAATGAATGGCTGAATAAATAAATGAAAGAATATATCTTTCATTTTTATTAATATTCCTCCTTTCTTTTCCTAGAATCTTTATTTTGGGTAATAACAATATCATTCTTGCAATCGCTCATACTTAAAGAATAAGTCATGATTTGATCCTGTCTTCCTCAAAACCTTATGTCCAATCAGTTGCCAGCTTTTATCGTTCTGCTTCTCAAATGTTTCTCAATGGCTCCTTTATTTCCTTTCCACTGTTACCCCTCTCTTTTCATCCAAAAGTTAGAGTGACATCCTAGACTCCATTCTTTCTCTCATCCGTAAAAGTGCTGGTAGCTTTGCTTAAACATCTCTCATCATTTCTTGCCTAACAATTAGAAGATTCTACTGGCTTTTCTGCTTGACTCTACTCTTGTTCCCATATTGTTGTAACAATATGCTTTTATATTTGACTCTTTTCTAGACCATTAGCTACTTGACCGTAAGAATACTATCTTATTCCAAGCTATCTCTTCAGTAACTATTACAGTGGCTGCCATACAATTTCAGAATATTTAACATTATTTAATAAGTGTTTACTGAATGCCTACTTTATGCAAGGCTCAGGGACTGTAGGAATAAAAGACATGGCACTGTTCTCATGCCACTTAAGACCTAGTAGGGAGCCACAGATGAAGAGCATCTGGTTTGGAAACAACCCAAAGTTAAGCTGTATTAGGTGGTATAGATTTAAACATGAAAGAGGATGACACAGAGAATAACAGAGAAGTTTCTACTTTGGGTAGGAGGTCACAGAAGCATGAAGAAAAAAAAGTAGCAAGCCAGGTGATAAATGGACAAAGAGGAGACAAAGGAAATAGTGCATGCTGAGGTTCTAAGGCGGGAAGTGCTTGGTCTATTTGAGAAACCAAAAGATCAGTGAAGCTGAAACCTAGTGACATGAAATGTGGTGGGAGAGCTAGGCCAGGGCCAGGCAGACAATGCCGGACCTCAAAGGTCATGTCATACATTTTCATGCAAGGGAAGAATGAAAACGAGGGGATTAGATAAGCATTTTAAAAATCTCTGTCTTGCTGCTGTATTGAGGATCAGTTAGGTGCACTTGTAGAAAACCAAGTAAGATTTATTATTGTATCAATCAATTGCTTTTTGTCTGGAATTCTGTAATTGCCATCTATCTCTATGTTATCCTAATTCACTTTCCGCTCCAGATTTATTTTCTTGATAAAGCTTTACTTACACTTCTCTATCCCACATTTTCTAACACATGAAACTTGCAGTGCAAACTTCTGGGCATGGAGTTTAATACTTCCTACGGTTATTCTCCTTTTTTTCCTACATACATTTTGTGCTCAAACCAAACTTCTTATTTATCACTCCTCGAAGGTGCCTCTCACGTTCCCACCTCTCGATATTTAATCAGGCAATTCTGCTTGAAATGCTTTCTTCCATATTTCTCTCCATTAAGAGCTTACGCATCCTTTTGGGACAGATTCAGATACTGACACACGACAGTTCTTCTGATATCAATAACTAGAAGTACTGCCTCCCTCATCTGAATTTTGACTTACATCACATTTTTCTCCCTTTTCTATTCTGCTCTGTGTTATGTTAGATTCCTCTGTGTCTTACTCCTTTTTGAATCTTCCATAGCACCTTGAACACTGCATAAACTCAGTTAAGTATTTATTGAAATCAGCACATTTCCATACATGTAGCATCTAAGAAAATTGTATTTGTGTGCATTTAGTCTTTCAAAGCTTATTATTGTATAATTATAGCATAATTTAAAAACATGCTTTCTTTAGAGCTTGTATTTTTGGACACATATTCAGTTTGAATCTTTAAATATCTGGTTCTTAGATATAACCATGTCATGTGCACATGTTTGCTTTAGAAAGTTCTCCTATTTCAAAAAAAATAGTAAGAGCTTGTCACTTACCACTATATTTGAATATTTAATTAAATATTATAATTTTAGAAGTTAATGTGTATGACAGAATAATAAGAAGATAGTAGCTATAACAAAGAAAGAGTGAAAGTGGGGTAATTATCTTGGTGCTGGCATTAGCTCAACCAGATGTGCCAGGGAAAGGCTGAGACGTGATTAGAATTCCAAACGCTTAAAAAAAATGAAGGCCATCAATAGTAGGGGATAAGTGATCCAAAAAGAGAAACACATGTTATTTTTGTTAGTTGGTTGAATGACTCAGGAGAAACATCCTCGCATGCTACATTTTAAGATCTAAAATGCGGCTTGACACAGACATAGGTTCTACCTTATTCCTCTATAGTAAGAACTAGTTTTAGGGAATTACGGAATTGTTTTCAGTGTGGATATAGTATGCTCATGTATATAGCCTCTGTGTCCTGACACAACTAGATTCAAATCATGGTGCTTCCTCGTATTAAGTTGATGACTTTGGATGAATTGGTCTATCTCTATGTGATACTCAGTTGGAAAGTGAAAGTAACAATACTCCTTACCACCCAGGATTTTTGTGAAGAAAAAAAAAATCATGGAAAACATTTAGTATATAGTCTGGCACATAGTAAATATTGTCCATTGTTCTCTCCCTCCCTTTGCCTTTTCAGGAAGACAAATGGGGATTGTGTCCATATATATCACCAGTTGTCTATATTGACAAGATACCAATCTTTTTAACATACCCATATGAAAAAATTAATAATTATCAACAATCACTGTGTTGAGATCTATAGTAGATTACAGGGGAAGTAAAGCAACGCTGCTACAGGATTTTTACATTTATTCTGTAGATAAGCAGAAGAGAAGGCAACTTACTTGCATCACAAAAGGGATCATTTTAGGCTTTGGGGTCTAGAATAGATATTGTGTGGCAATTTTGAATTTAGAAAGACCAGTTAACAGACTGCTGCCTATTTAACACATTTTACTTCAGAGAATGGAAATAAAAGAGACAAAGAAGGGGGCTGTTAATTTTCGTATTCACCTATGCATTGCTTAACGTGTAACAAGGGACAAGTATTTCTTTTATTATTAAATCTGATAAAATAATGAGTTAGGTGCAACAGTTGCTTTAATTCAGGCAAGAAGTGATGGTGTCCTATTCTAAGCTAGTGGCAATGGGGAAGGCAATGACTTGAAAATTACATAAGAAGTAGAATTGTCAGGATTCAATGATGGAAAACTGGGAAAGGTAAGCAGGAGAGGACAAAGTCTAGGATGAGGGGCAGGCTTCTGATTGCCATGAGGAGATATGGAAAATTCAACAAGTTGCAGGGGCAACGAGGGGCAGATTTTCCAGTTATTTTTTGACACAGTGAATTAAAGTTGCATGTGCCTAATTGCAAGGTCAATATCTAGCAGGAGGATTGGTATAAAACTCTAGAGATTAGGATATAGAAGTGGACCAGAGATACACAACTGATGTTTATCACCATAGAGACAGTTACAGCAATGGAAGTTAATCATTCGGGAAAATTATACCCAATTATAGTCCAATAAGTAAGACTTGACATGCTTCCATTAGCGGCTGGGGGCTCTAAAGGCTAGGTAGGGGTTTTACTTCTGATTGATACAAACTTTGAAGATGAACTGAATAAACTTTTTAGTGTTGTATTTTCAATGGTCAAGGCTGGAAATGACCTTTGCAAGAAACTGGAGAGTTACTAAAACAAAATATATGTAAAAGGCAGGTCAACAAGGGCAATATAGAACATTGTGGAAGTGAAGCATGGGGTACTGGAAACACCAGGGAGAGAGAAGGCTGCGAAACATCTACATTAATATCAGAAAATAGAGCAGAAAAATACCGTTAAGTCTTAACTTCTGTCTCTGGTGCCACCGTCCCTGTATTTTTAGGCAGTTTAGAACATATCCCCATCTCTGTAGCTTCAAACAGTTTAGCTGTTGAGGATAGAGAGTAAGAAAGATCAATGTCACTTGACAGTGAGTATTGTCCCAAATGTTACCTCTGTCACTCTCTACTAGCTTCACTCTACTTGCTTTACCTGCGTAGCACTTATCACCATCTGATACATTATGTTTATTGGTTTATCTTTTGTCTCTCCTCACTAGAATAAGCTCCAGTGGAAGAGGGATGTTTCCTGAAATTCAGTGCTGTATCACTGGCACCTAGAACAGTACCTAGTTTATAGTAGCCTCTCAGTAAATATTATTTGAGTAAATAAATGAATAAATGCTATTTGGCATTGAAAATGGCAGAGGTCAGTAACTAGTGGTAGGATGTGGCTATGGGATAGCAGCTTCCAAATACAGCTGCCTGTATTAGTCTATTTGCACACTGCCGATAAAGACGTACCTGAGACTGGGAAGAAAAAGGGATTTTAACTGACTCACAGTTCTACATGGCTGGGGAGGCCTCAATCATGGCAGAAGGCAAGAAGGAGCAAGTCACATCTTACTTGGATGGTGGTAGGCAAAAAGAGAGCTTGTGCAGGAAAACTCCCCCTTATAAAACCAGCAGATCTCATGAGACTTATTCACTACCATGATAACAGCACTGGAAAGACTTGCCCCAACGATTCAATTACCTCCCACCAGGTCCCTCCCACAACACGTGGGAATTCAAGATGAGATTTGGGTGAGGACACAGCTAAACCATATCATTCCAACCCAGCCCCTCCCAAATCTCATGTCCTCACATTTTAAAACCAATCATGCCTTCCCAACAGTCCCCCAAAGTCTTAACTCTTTTCAGCACTAAATCAAAAGTCCACAGTCCAGTCTCATCTGAGACAAGGCAAGTCCCTTTTGCCTATGAGCCTCTAAAATCAAAAGCAAGTTAGTTACTTCCTATATACAATGGGGGTACAGGCATTGGGTAAATACACCTCTTTTAAATGGGAGAAATTGGCCAAAACAAAGGGGCTACATGCCCCCATGCAATTCCAAAATCCAGCGGAGCAGTCAAATCTTAAAGCTCCAAAATGATTTCTTTTTACTCCATGTCTCACATCCAGGTAACAGCGATGCAAAAGGTGGGTTCCCATGGCCTTGGGCAGCTCAACCCTTGTGGTTTTGCAGGGTGTAGCCCATCTTCTGGCTGCTTTCCTGGGCTGGCATTGTCTGCAGCTTTTCCAGGCATACAGTGCAAGATGTCGCTGGATCTATCATTCTGGGGTCGGGATGATGGTGACCCTCTTCTCATAGCTTCACTAGGTGGTGCCCCAGTAGGGATTCTGTGTGGGGGCTCTGGCCCCACATTTCCCTTCCACACTGCCCTAGCAGAGTTTCTCAATGAGAGCCATGCCCCTGCAGCAAACTTTTTCCTGGGCATCCAGGCGTTTCCATACATCTTCCAAAATCTAGACAGAGGTTCCCAAACCTCAATCTTGACTTCTGTGCACCTGCAGGCTCAACACCACATGGAAGCTGTCAAGGCGTGGCACTTGCACCCTCTGAAGCAACAGTCCAAGCTGCAACTTGGCCCCTTTTAGTCACGGCTAGAGCATCTGGGATATAGGACACCAAGTCCCTGGACTGCATACAGCAGAGGGACCCTGGGCCCAGCCCATGAAACCATTTTTTTCCTCCTAAACTTTGGAGCCTGTGATGGGACGGGTTGCCATGAAGAACCCTGACATGCCCCAAAGACATTTTCCCCATTTTCTTGGGAGATAACATTCAGCTTCTCGTTACTTATGCAAATTTTTGCAGCCAGCTTGAATTTCTCCTCAGAAAATGAGATTTTCTTTTCTATCACATTGTCAGGCTGAAAATTTTCCAAACTTTTATGCTCTGCTTCCTTTATAAAACGGAATGCCATTAACAGTACCCAAGTAACCTCTTGAATGCTTTGCTGCTTAGAAATTTCCTCTGCCAGATACCCTAAGTCATCTCTCTGAAGTTCAAAGTTCCACACATTTCTAGGGCAGAGGCAAAATGCTGCTAGTCTCCTTGCTAAGACATAACAAGAGTCACCTTTGCTCCATTTCCCAAAGAGTTCCTCATTTCCATTTGAGACCACCTCAGCCTGGACTTTATTGTCCATATTGCTATCAGCATTTTGGGGAAAGCCATTCAACAAGTCTCTAGGAAGTTTCAAACTTTCCCACATCTTCCTGTCCTCTTCTGAGCCTCCAAACTGTTCCGACCCCTGCCTGTTACCCAGTGCCAAAGTTGCTTCCACATTTTCAGGTATCTTTTCAGCAATGCCCCACTCTACTGGTACCTATTTACTGTATTAGTCCATTTTCACACTGCTGATAAAGTCATACCCAAAACTGAGAAGAAGAAGGAGTGTTAATGAACTTAAAGTTCCACATGCCTGGGGAGGCCTCACAATCATGGCGGAAGGCAAGGAGGAGCAAGTAACATCTTACATGGATGGCGGTAGGCAAAAAAAAAGCTAGTGAAGGGAAACTCCCCCTTATAAAACCATCAGATCTCATGAGACTTTTCACTTTCATGAGAACTGCACTGGAAAATCCTGCTCCATGATTCAATTACCTCCCACCAGATCCTTCCCACAACATGTGGGAATTCAAGATGAGATTTGAGTGGGGACACAGCCAAACCATATCACTGACCATGGAAAAATTTGCTGGGAAAGGAGAGCGCTTTTCAAGAAGAAATTGAAAAGCAACTCAGAATAGCATATCTGAAAAAGATGGCCATATAAAAATGGCCACACTTAAATCAAAAACCTATCAAATAAAAATTAGCAAAATAGTATGTAAGTCAACTATTCCAGACTTTGCCAGATTGTGACTATATACTAAGAGCTGTTAGAAACGATGATGAGATTTCAGAGTGACTAAGTGGTAGCAGGTCAAGGATCCGGTAATGTTCCAAAACAAGATTAACTTAGAACTCCTTCTTGTGAAATTTTTGAGAAAGAAGGCACACAAAGGGAAATGACAAATAGAAAACCAGTTTCAGGTTATGATTGTATGAACTGGTGCTGGATAAATTTTCTAATTTATGTTCTCTCTGGTAAACTGGGATATGGCAAAAGGCTTATGTTCATGATCTGAGAGACAGCCTCTCCGGTATACCAATTAGAATTGGTTCTGGCCCCTCAAGGGTGGCCTGCAGGGTAGGAAATCACAGGGATTGTATCCTCAAGCTCACTTAACATGTAATATTGCCTCTCTGTGTGACTAATGAAGCATAGGTAAAGTTTTTACCATTGTAAAGGGAAAAACATTCTTGGTTTTTAAATTGTATTTGTTTTCTTACCATTTAGAATGTAAGTTTCATGGAGGTAGAGGTTCCCCTTTGTTGCTTTGTTCATAGCTCTGTCCTTGGTACCTGGAAGAGTGTCTTGCACATAGCAAGTGCTCAATGAGTAGACACCAAATGAATGAGCTAATTTGCATTTTCCATTATTTCCCAATGAGAGATGGGAATAGTTGGATTTTCTTGAGAAAGTATGTAAAGTACCAAAGAAGTATTCTCCACTTTCTACTCCCCACCCCAGCCACCACCAAGTGTTGTGTATGTTGAGGGATGAAACAAATCAGGAGCTAGTTGTGAAGAGTTGCAATAGGTTGGAGGAGAGAGGTGTCTGAAGGACAAAAAAGGCAACAGGATTTTTATAATAGATGTTATGAAATAAACACTTGAACTCTATCAAATATTTGAGAGAGGGACACATAGATAAATATTAAAATTTCTGTTTGAGATGTATCTCTATGAACTGAAACATTGCTCTAAAAAAGGACTACTGAGGTCCAGCTTCTTTTCACACATGTCAAAATGGGATTACATAAAATACTAAAATGGAATGATCTCGATTTTCTAAGCTACTGAAGCAGAGTTGCTAGGCTGATTGGCTGGAATGCTGAAATGGGGTAGCCAAGTTCACCCATGGAGAAACTGAGAAAGAATAGAAAATAAACTGTGGAAAACCCAGAACTTTGCAGCTAAGGAAGTCTCTGTTTCATCCCCAGCAGTGGGACACTGGTTTAGTTTTGTTTTGTTTTGACAAGCATCTCACATATCTCTGATGGATAGCTTGAGACTTAATCAGACAGATTTTGAGAAAGCCTTACTTCAGAAGAGAGGCCAGCAGCTTGGGAGTAACAGTATTTTACTGCTATTAGGCTTGAAATACTTTTCTGATTGCCAATACTGCAGCTATGTATTTTGGAATAAATTGTGAACTTTGTAATTAAGAATGACTAACCTGTATTTGTGTTACTTTAATAACCCTGTGGACAGAAATGGCTGTCTCATCCCTTTAAATATGGCTTTTATCACCAGTGAACTGCAGAGGGTCACACAGTGGATTCCTTACAGCTTATACATAAGAGGAAACAAATGATATCAAGATCTCCTGGCTTAATTCACTGACACTGCTTTCTAGCTCAGCTTACGCTATAAAGGGATGGAGTAAAGAGAAGAAAGAGAGGGTAAGGTGGCCATCCGTTGCCTTAGAATGCCAACCCAGTTCAATTTGTCAGTCTGATAGTATGGATTGGGGTGGGGGAGGAAAGAGGACTACATCCATGTGTATGACTTTGTCACACAACGACCCAAGACACTATTAAACATCACCTTATCAGTGTCCCAAACTTTGACCCAATTCAATTAACAACTCATCTTTATGTGGAGAAGCTAGGAGAAAGCAGAGAGAAGTTCTCTCTCTTGCTCTAGGTCAAGACTTGCCTAACAGTTTCTGGTGACAAATTTCAAGAGTGTCCAAGAGTTACATTATTTAAAATCCAAATTTGGACACCATGAATCGCCACAAGATTAATTGTCATGAATTATCTCTATTAAAGTTAATCCTCTTGTTATTTTGAGGAGTCCTCTACCGCATACTTCACTTTCATCACTGTCTATCGTAAGAACTCTAATCATTGTACCGAATGCCCTCTTCCTTGTTGCTCTAAATCTTCAAGTCTTTAGGGTCCCATGTCTTTGCTAGTGGAAAACCTCTGAGGGCTCCAATTGTGGGCCTCTTTTTGACACTTAGATGATAAAACAGCTCTGCTCTTGCACTGTATCATTGAGTCTCCCTGAAAAGTTCTATCAGGTTCTGTCCAGAATCTTGACCCTTGCCCAGAATCTGACCAATTAGCTCATGAAAATCCTATTAGTCTGGGCTCAGCACAACCAACCACAGAAGCACACAGATACAGAACTGAGTAGAGAATAACTCACCATACCATGCTTTTGTTCTTCAGGCAAGGGGAGTCACTGGGGCTTTTTGAGTAGTAGTGTGGCAATCACAGTGTATTTCAAGAGTATTTCTGCTCCTGGATGGGCACGTCAACAAAGATCTTAGTTGTGTGACATTCTCAGTAATCCGAGTAGGAGGTATTCATTTAGCCCCTGCTCTAGAGGTAGGTGAACTGGAGAGAAGATAAATTCAAGAAAAAAAAAATACAGAGGAGAAGTCAAAGGACCTCAACCAGATTATATGTGGTGAGCAAAACATGAAAAGAACCACAGAGGGCTTAGTTTTTTGTCAAGAATGATGGGGAGATGACGGCCCCAAGACTACCTAGTCCCTCTCTGCCAGCTCATTTCCAACCTTATACCTTTTTTGTATCACCACTTTTAACATATGCATTCCCTATTCCAGTAAAATTAAACTCTTTTTTGCCTCTTATGCACTCCTACATTTTCTCTTTGATACACCTTTACTAATACTAAAATCTCCACTTGGGATCTCCTTCTGCCAATATTAAAATTCAAATCATATCACTTAGATCAAACTCACGTATTGTGTGTTTACAGAGGCAGAACAATGGAGTGGAGTTCAAACTTTGAAGGAAGACTGCCTAGGTTCAAGTCCTGGCTCACAATACTTTAGAACTGTGTGAACTTGGGGAAGTTACTTAACTCCTCTGTGGTTCAGTTTCCTTATCTGTAAAATAGACATAAGAAGGATACTGACCTTATTTTGTTGTTGGGAGGATTAAATGTAAAGCATTTATGTAACCCACCTGGAAGAGCTCTCAATAGTACATATTTGCTATTATTATTTAATTCAACATATACTGAAGACAGTGAGCAGGATGGGGATCCAGCAGACACTAAGGTGTGGCCTCTGCTCTTATGGGGTACAGAAGTATTATATGAGAGGTACACATATCAAGATATAATTGGAATATGCATTAAAATATGAGAGGAATATATGCAAGGTAAAATGGTGAAATAATTGAGTGGTATCCAGAAGAGAGGAATGTATACTCTGAAAAGCAGACGAAGAAGAGCATATGCAAAAGGAAAATTCTCTGGTGCTTCTACCTCGACAAAATTTCCCTAACTCCTCTTAGCTCAGATAATTTTTTCTTTCTCCTAAACAATGCAAAGACTATAAGAAACCTTTACATTTTTACCTTGTATTAGAATTATTTATTTATCTAAATGTCTCACCTGCCCCAGTTAGACTGTAAACACTTGGAGAGCAAGTGCTGTGCATTATTATTTTGTAGGCTTTCCTAAGCAAAGTCAGTGACCCTGTCTAGAGTAGGCATGTTTATACTAAGGGAACGGAAGGGGAGTATGTGAGTGGGTGGCATGAAGGGACTGTGAAACTGAGGCATAATTGCAACGGACCACAGTCGACCACTAAGCAGAAGGCCTATGGGGAGGGCCTTTGCAGACTCTACCACATAAGATGGCGCCACCATGTGGCTGATCCTCTAGTCATCCCTGTGGCAAAGGGGTGATTTGATTCTAAGCTTCCAGACTGAGAAGATGTCAGTAGATTCGGTAGAAACAAATTTCTTCTCCACGGTTCAGAAATCCTCTGAGAAACCGCTGCCCTATTTTGAGCACAGTTTCTGGCTCTGAAGGTTTGAAGAATAGAGTATCCTGGCAGACTTTGCACCATTTTCTTTGCGTTGATCTGTCAAACCCATTGAGTAAACAGTGGCTGGTGTCTTTAAGAATTTCTCTCATTTAGAGGGGCACCAGAGTGTCTATTTGAAATCAACAAATAAAAGTGGCTTGTAGTAGAGAAGGTTAGTAGACAGCTTTTATTATACTTAGGTACAGTAAACAGACTGGTTAGAACATCTTTGCTTGTGCAAGTGTGATACAAACCAGCTGTAGATAACGTGTTCCTAGCAAGTACATACTTGGGGGTTGTGGTCCTCAAAGAGATGTTTTTTATACCAGGTTATTTTTGTAAGAGAAACACATTCTTTGTTTAAAGGATCAAAACAGACTTATGCATTAAGTAGGCAGGTTACCCTTTCTTTTCCATGTATTTTTGTATCCCCAAAATAATATTTTTTCTTAATAAAAAATATGGTTACGGTTTTACTAATTCTTCCTTTTTCTTATTCTGTGTATTAAAGATTTTCAGAGAAAAAATTAAGCCCTCAGTAAAACCTGATTTAAAAGGTCATTTAAAGATAAAAAATAAAGCCCTGCTTACTGCATTATTAAATCTTTTACTGCCTAATACTGAGAACCAACAGAAACAATGTTTTGTTTGCTCAGATTCACAGAGGAAAGAGGCAGAAATTCAAATATGTGCAGATTCTTTTATTCTGAAGCTTCAGGTATGTTATGTTTTCATTTGGGGGTACATATGCTTAAAATGAGGGGCTATATAATAAAAGAAAATAATTTATACTGAGATTTTATCATTTATCATGTTTTCATCACTGATTTCTGATTTGAAACTTTCAAGTTGCAATGTGAACAAATTCTTCTTCCTCCATCCAATTCTTCCCATATTTAAGAGTATTTGTAATATATTAAAAGGTGGTTCAGTGGCTATAGCATGGACTCCAAACACAGACTGCTTCGGTTTAGAGATGAGGCATGTTATTTAATCTCTTTATGCTTAGGTTATATCTTAATCTGTAAAATGGAAGAGTTAATAAATGCACTTAACTCATAGATTTTCTGAGAGAAACAAATGCTTATGCAAAGTACTTGGACAGTGCCCGGCACATACTGAGTGTTAGTTGCAACTAACTGTTTTTCTCTGAAAGTCCTAAGCTAACCTCATGAGTGGGATATATACATCTTCATGGTAGGGAGTCAAATCTTCCATGAGGAAGCTGAGAATGAAGATTCCCTGACTCTCACTACACTAAGGTAGGATCCAGGGAAGAGGATGGTGAGTAAAAAAGAGCAAATAGAGGGAAATCAGGGAGGAAGGAAGACTTCCTATGCCCAATGAAGGTGTTTCCATTTTGAGTGATGGGGAAACTAAAGAAAAATTTTGTGTTATCCTTTAGAAAATGAGTGTGGTTATAGTCTTCTAAGAGTTAGATTGTTCTTTTTCTAGTAATAGACCACATTTGAATATTCTTCCAGATGTCTTGGAACCTAACAGAGTGGTGACAAAAAAAAGCTCTAGGTTTCATATTTGAAACAAGATGCATGGTGGTAGAAGTAGTTTGAATACTGGAATATTGGAATCTTCAGGATATTCTGATACTTTATGGGAACAATGGGAAAAGATGTTTCAGATTGAGACCATACCACAAAATCTGGGCTGTGGTTTTGCCTTATCCTCGTAGGGAGAGTTCAGCAGATGCTTGGCTATATATCTTGTCCCACTGTTACAGGAAGCTTCCTATGGAAATGTTTAAAATTGCCTACTTTTTTGCTGAGCTACTTGATATATAGGCATAATGAAGTCATATACTCACTTGGCTCCATCATAAGATTAGGTCAAGCTTGATCACTCAGTGGACACCTATGTGGAAGGTTTATTTAAATTATATGAATTATTCTCTTTGGCCAAGGTGGAATGCTTGGGTGACTTATTAAAGAAGTGTGAGAAAGTTATTATACCTTGTCAACTAAAAAGATGGCAGGGTTTTAAATAGGATGAAATCTCAGAGAATTGTCTGGAAAACGGACTACTTGAAGAGTCTCCAGACTCCTTGATGTGTTGCTCATTAATGCATGCCTGTACCTTTCAATTCTCACACTGCTATGTGCTTTGGAATACTTTATAGAATAGTCAAACATAACATTAGGGAAAAGAGCTAATGCATATGGGCTTAATACCTAGATGATAGGTTGTTAGGTGCAGGAAACCACCTATGTAACAAACCTGCACATCCTGCACATGTACCTTGGAACTTAAAAAAATAATAAAATTAATTATTAAAAAGTATGTCAATTTTTGTAAATGATAAAATACTACATTGAACATTTTGATTAATTAAAAAGTCTGTATCTTCCAAATGAATATTAAAATCTATTTATAAATAGAAGGAGATAGTCTCTGAGAGCCACAGAAGTATATGCGACATATGGGGAACAAGAAACGGATTTCCTGATAACCACAAAATGTTAGACCAGCTGAAATATTGAAGATCATCCAGTTTAGCTTTCTCCTTTCATATATGAAGAAACTGAGGCCCAGACACTTTGTGTCTTGTTCACATTTAACACAACTAATTACTCTTACTAGTAAAGACTAGAACCCATACCTTCAGATTTTCAGCTGAAATATTCTAATTTATCACAGCAGTAGTTGAGGGTATAACTGAAAAGCAGTAAGAAGTTCACCTTCCCGGGTATCGTCAATCTCAGTTAAAATTGCCTCAAGAAATATCATGCATGATTGCAGGGATCGAGTTTGGACCTGATGGTTCTCTATAAGTACCTTTATGTTAGTGCTTCACACATGGAGCTTTGCTCTGTTTGGCGTATTTTTAATCTGCCAGCCATCATTATAGTGATGACGGGGGTATATAGTAACTATATTTTTGGTCATACTCAAGAGAGTTGTGGGGAGGTGGCAAAGTTGGGCAACTGTGGAAACAGAAACGGCTGCTCTAAAACGGACTTTAGGACTTTAGTCACTGGACAAATTTAAAGATTTTTCTCTTCCAGGAGTTTCCTTGGGAACTTGTCCCAAAGGAATTAAACTCTACCATATTCCACCTTATAGGTATGGTACCCTATGATTAATATGGGATTATTACAAACACGTCCAAGAGAGTCTGATATACAGTAAATGCACAGTAAATGTTGTCTAGTAGCTGTCTATAATTTTGGTATGTGATACTTCTCTGCTATAATTTCTTCCCAGGTTATTAAACACTTTGTTCTCAAACTAATAGGAAAACCTAAATGCTTAAATGAAGTCGAGAATGTCCGCACTAAATGGTCCCTCTCAGACTCTGCAGCCTAAAACTCTCCTTTACGGAAGTGGAAATGGGGCTTGAGATAAAGAGTGACTGATTTCATGTCACCGTGTGAATTAGTTGTGTTGTCCCCTGAGCCATCTGTAATTGTGGTCATATTTCTCAACTCCATCAAAGAATGGCCAGAGGTAAAATTCAGACTTCATCTTGAAAAGAATCCATTTTGTGAAAAGATAATTAATTTTGTTTTTGAACTGTGGCTGATGGATTCTGGGAGGAGAAACATTGTCTAAAGGCCTTGAAATGAGCTCTATGAATTCAACGTCAGCTATTGGGACTCCTGGGTCAAAGACGGCAGAGGCAAATGCAAAAATGAGATAAGCTTTCAAGATAAACTTTCTCCATTGTCTATAGTTTGGTTGTGTGGCCTTTGGGAATCTTTTAGAAAATTTATATATGGTTACAATAATAAAAAACATGGGCTCTTTAAGGTGATAAAATCCAATAAAATTTGCAACCTTGAGTCAAGCTAAATAGTGAAGGGTTTTTTCCTTACTGCTGAATGAAAAATGCAGAACCAGCAAACTGTTTTCCCTGTTGGACTATTATTATTTTAGAAAATGTATTAGTGGACAGTTTTGAGAATTGCAATTAAAGAATGTAGACTGAATTAATGGCTGCTGGTAGGCAGCTGTCTCATCAGCTTTTTGCCTTGGAATTAAAGTCATCCTGAAAAAGATTTACTCAGGGATAACAATATAATCTGAAAGATGATCACACTCTATTCCTGAGGCATTAAAAATATAGATGAGATAATATGTCATCTTTCCATCCCACTCCATATTTAAGCTCCTTCTATTATTCTGCTTTTCCTATAGGCTGGAGTTCAAGATCCTTTGACCGTGATTTTTAAGGCCCGTATCAGTCTAATTGTAGCTTGTTTTTCAAGCGCTCTTTTCATTCTGACCCCAAACCTCTAAAATTCTCAAGAGTCGTACGAAATTATTTTCCTTTCCTTTAGCAAAGATGCCTTTTTCTTCCTCCGTGCAATATCTCATGCTATTTTCCTTAACTGAAATATTGTCCCATTATCTTTTCATGTACCTTCTTCAAGGGCTACATCAACTGATTTCTTCTCCATAAGAATTTCCCTAATATTAACCGTAGCTGCTATGTATTTAAAACCTACTCTACGCCAGACATTTGCTAGGTGAATTTTCTTATTTAAACCTCATTACTAATCCCATTTCACAGATAAAAGACTTGAGAATCAGAGAAGTTAAATTTCTTCTTTAAGGTCACATAGCTTGAAAATTGAGGCACCAAAATTCAAACCAAATTGTGTCTGACTCCAAAGCTCATGGTCATATACACTGCTTTATCTTCTCTCAGCAGAGTGAATGATTCTCTTCTCCGTGCATGTACAGCCATGTAATTATTACATTTTTATGTCACTTACCTGTTTGGGCTATATACATGTGTGTCTCCCTGCAAATCTATGAGCTCTTCAAAAACGAAACTTTATTTTATTCATTTCTGCAACCTCAGGATCTAAAGCTATGTCTGGCATTGACTAGATGCTCAATAAACATTCACTACTCTGAGGGCTACAGATTATTCAATATACATTATCTCTGCCAAAAGTCACTTATTATTTATGCAGGGAGACTAGATATAAACACGTGGGAAAAAATAAAGAGAGAAATCCCAGCTCTGTCATTAAATTCATGAAAAGACCTAAAGAGGATGTCAGTGTTTCTGTTTTTGCCATAACTGCATGTATTTGTGCTGGTTCTTCTGCCTTGGGATGAGACAGACCGAAGCTCATTGAAATGGCTCAGTGTTCAAGGGAGAATTGGTGAGTAGAGTCAGTTCTGAAAGCCATGGTGTTGCTGCTCCTAAGCACAGGTGCTATGGTTTGAATGTCCCCTCCAAAACTCATGTTGACATTTAATTGCCATTGTGACAGTACTAAGAAGCAGGACCATTAAGTGGTGATTAGGCTGTGAGGGCTCTGCTCTCATGAGTGGATTAATGTCATCATCTTGACACTGGGTTGTTATAAAAGAAAGTTTAGCCTTCACTTGCTCTTGCTCTTTCTTGCCCCTCTGCCTTGCCTCATGGGATAAAGCAGCATGAAGACCTTTGCCAGATAACAACACCATTGTCTTAGACTTTTCAGCCTCCAGAACCATGAGCCAAATAAAGTTATTATAAATACCCAGTCTGTGGTATTCTGTTATAACAACAGAAAAAAGACTACACCAGCAGGCAAGGCTATACAGCTAATGTGACCTCTTGGGGTTCTGCCCTGAAAAAGTAGAGCATCATCATTGAGCTCCTTCAAAGACATGTGTGAGTATCTTAAAGAAGCACGTATAAGCTGGACTGTTTAGAGGTAACAGAATGTGGTAAATATGAGCATGGACTCGGGATTCTGCTTGTCTTGGTTTGAACCCCAGTTTTGACTGTTACCAGTTTCATGATGTTACCATTTTTCCCTTTTCCCTCGGCTTCCTTAGGAGTAAAATAAGTGTAATACTAAAACCTAGTTTACAGAATTGTTCAGAAGGTTAAATAGCTTAATAGATGTAAAACACACAAAAGAGTGCCTAGCACAGGGTTATCGCTTAGTGCATATTTGCTTTTATTTCCAATTTAGTTTTTTTTTCTCCTACCTCTACTTACATGAATTGTGAATATTAAAAGAATATAATGTCAGTTTTAGCAAGGTCACTAATACTGTTTTATTACTTTTTAAATGTTAGTTTCCCTCAAATTGGCACTGGCTATCTAAAATATGAGCAAATGATACTCACTGTTATGAAATCCCCACGTGAAAAATTGACATGGATATGATAAAATTTAGAGCTAGAAAGGGCATAAGAACTCATTTAATAATTTTTTTTTTCTTTACCGATGAGGGAAAAAAGGTCCACAGGAGACAAGTGGCTTGCCCAAGGTCACAGCCCAAGGTCACACAGGAAGTTAATTGTGGAATTACCATCTCAATACTATTTTAAAGATAGCCTGCGTGGAAATGATTAGAGTTGTCAGGGCAGTAATATATGGTCATGAGAATAAAGCAGATGTTTCATTATTCCAGAGCCATCTTTTTAAAGATAAGTGTTTACATTTCACTTCAATTAAGCAATTTTCTTGGGTTACCATTTTAAAATAAACTATTATAACAATAGGGAAAGAATCTGTATAAATCAACGTAATTACTTTTGTGGGTTCTAAATATTATGACTTTATTTATGCTGTTGCTACAGAGGGTCTCAAGATTATTAAGAAAACTAGATTGGAATTGGTGATATACTTAAAGTGATATATACATAAAATTTTGGAAGATTATAGATGGAAGAATGAGAACATGTTCATGCCATTTGAAAAGTCACTTACTTGTAAAATAGTCAAGTGCTACCAAAAGTATGGGCTTGGATTTTAAATTACCCCTGAAGATACTGTTCAGAAGCTAATCATAATATTGCTAAATTCAATATTGAGACAGCTTGCAGCTTCAGTCGTTAGGGAGATGATGGGACTCCAACAGAGGCTAAATGGTGTTATTGATATGGGAAATGCAGACATGTACATAATATTACATGATGCAATTTTTTTATAGTTTGGAAATTATATACACAGATGGTTTAAAATTTAGTAAATGCAAATATTTTCTACCATTTTGTAGGTTGTCTTTCTACTTTGTTGATTGTTTCCTTTGCTGTGCAGAACCTTCTTACTTTGATATAACTTCATTTATCTATTTTTGCTTTTGTTGCCTGGGCTTTTAAGGTCTTATTTGTAAAATATTTTGCCAGATTAATTTTGAACAGTTTTTCTTATGTTTTCTTCTAATAGCTTTACAGATTAGGGTGTCACATTTATTTAGTCCATTTTGAGGTGTATATGCTGGGATAGGGGTCTAGTTTCAAGGGGCTGCATGTAGATCTTCAGTTTTCCCAGCACCATCTATTGAATAAACTGTCCTTTCCCAAATGATTATTCTTTGTACAATGGTGAAAAATCAATTGACTATAAATATCTGGATTTATTTCTTGGCTCTCTATTCGGCTCTATTGGTCTATGTGTCTGTTTTTCATGCCAGTACCATGCTGTTTTGGTTACTATAACTTTGTGGTATATTTTGATATCTGGTAGTATGACACCTACAGCTTTATTTATTATTATTATTGTTTTGCTCAGGATTCCTCTGGCTAGCCAAAATATTTTGTGGTTACATATGTACTGTACATATATATATATGTATGTATATATATATATATATATATATATATATATATATATATTTCTGTGAAGGCTGTCATGAGTATTTTGATAGAGATTGCATTCAATCTGTATATTGTTTTAGTAGCATAGTCATTCTTTTGACAGGAGATTAATAACCAGAATAAACAAGAAACTAAAACAACTGAACAGTACAAAAACAAATAATCTGATTGACAAATAATTGGAATTGACATTTCTCAAAAGCGGACATATGAATGACCAAAAAAATTGAAAAAAAGAGATTTGCATTT
The DNA here is from genome assembly GCF_000001405.40 of Homo sapiens. Lineage (NCBI taxonomy): Eukaryota > Metazoa > Chordata > Mammalia > Primates > Hominidae > Homo > Homo sapiens. The sequence goes on along the minus strand of NC_000023.11, from coordinate 144,558,808 downwards.
CTCTGATGATGAGTGATGCTGAGCTTTATTTCACATGTTTGTTGGCGGCATGTATGTCATCTTTTGAAAAGTGTCTGTTCATGTCCTCTGCTTATTTTTAATGTTTTTTTTCTTATAGAATTGTTTAAATTTCTCATAGATGCAGGATATTAGACTTTTGTCAGATGCATAGTTAGCAAAAATTTTCTCCCGTTATGTAGATTGTCTGTTTACTCTGTTAATAGTTTATTTTGCTGTACAGAAGCTCTTTAGTTTAAATACATCCTGTTTGTCAATTTGTGCTTTTGTTGCAATTGCTTTTGGCATCTACATCATGAAATCTTTGTCCACTCCTATGTCCAGGATAGCATTGCTTAGGTTGTCTTCCTTGTTTCTCATAGTACTGGGCTTTACATTAAAGTCCTTTATCCAGCCTGAGTTGATTTTTGTGTGTGGTTTAAGGAAGTTTTCCAGTTTCAATATTCTGCTTATGGTTAGCCAATTACCCCAGCACCGTTTATTGAATAGGAAGTCTTTTCAACCACAATGAGATTCTATCTCACAACAGTCAGAATGATTATTTAAAAGTCAAAAAATAACAGATGTTGGCCAGGTTGCAGAGAACATGCAATGCTTGTATACTCTTGGTGTGCTCTTAGTTCAACCATTGTGGAAAGCAGTGTGGTGATTCCTCAAAGACCTAACTACAGAACTACCATTCAACCCAGCAATCCAATTACTGGTTATTTACCCAAAGAAATAGAAATCTAGTTGTCATAAACACACATGCACACATATGTTCATTGCAGCACTACCGCAATAGCAAAGACACAGAATCAACCTAAATGCCCATTAATGGTAGATTGAATAAAGAAAATATGGTACATATACACCATGGAATAATATAAAGCCAAAAAAAGAAAGAACAAGGTTATATCCTTTGCAGGAATATGGATGAAGCTAGGAGCCATTATCTTTATCAGATTAATGCAGGAACAGAAAACCAAATTCCACATGTTCTCACTTATAAGTAGGAGCTAAATGATGAGAACACATGGACACATAGAGAGGAATGACATACACTGGGGCTTACCGGAGGGTAGAGGGTGGTAGAAGGAAGAGAACCAGAAAAAATAACTAATAGGTACTAGGCTTAATACCTGGATGATGAAATAATCTATACAACAACCCCCCATGAGAGAAGTTTACCTATATGACAAACCTGCAAATGTACCCCTAAATATAAAATAAAAGTTACAAAAAGAAATCTAATTCCCAAAAGGTTAGTATTAGGAGGTGGGGCCTTTAGGGGGTGGTGAATAGGTCATGAGGGTGGAGCCCTCATGAATGGGATTAGTGCCCAATTAAAAGGGACCCCTGAGAGCTCTCTCACCCACTTTCCACTAAATGAAGATACAACAAGAAGTCAACAGTATGCAACTCGGAAGAGAGCCTTCCCCATAACTTGATCATACTGACACCCTGACCTCAGGCTTCCAGCCTCCAGAATTGTGAGAAATAAATATCTATTGTTTATAAGTCAATAAAAGAAAATAAAATGCTCAACATTACTCTTCTTCAGGGAAATGCAAATCAAAACCACAATGAGATATCACCTCACTCCTGTTAGAATGACTCTTACCAAAAAATGAAAGATCACAAATGTTGGCAAGGATGTAGAGAAAAGAAAACTCTTATACACTGTTGGAGTGAATGTAAATTAAGATATCCATTATGGAAAACAGTATGGAGTTGGAGGGATTTTTTAAATTTGTTTTCAGATATGTGTTTTCACTCACATTCACAAGCTAGAAAAAATTTATCTTATAGTAGTAGAGAGTAGAATAGTTGTTACTAGAGACTGGAAAGGGCAGTGGGAGTGGAATATGGAGAGGTTGGTTAGATGATACAAAATTACAGATAAATAGCAGGAATAAGTTTCAGTGTCCTATAGCACTATATAATAGCTATAGTTAAAAGTAATTTAATTTATATTTTCAAATAGCTAGAAGAGAGGATTTTTCATTTGTCCAGTACAAGAAACGATAAATGTTTGAGGTGACCGATATGTTTATTACCCTAAATTGATCACCATAAATTATATGTTTTAAGACCTCACTGTTTTCAACAATATGTACAATTATTACATGCCAATTTAAAATCATTTTAAAAATTAAAAATATGCTAACAAATTGTGAAGAAAATGAAATATATGAAGAATCTCCTCATGCAGTGGCAAACATCAGTAATATGTTTGGTGTACGTTTCAACAAATACATTTTAGTACCGCTCATGAATTAGGCAGGTAGTGTTCTAGGAACTGGGCATACAGCAATGAACAAAAAAAAAAAATCCTTACATTCAGGTGGTAGGAGACAGACAAAACAGATAGATAAGAGAAAATCAGATTATTTCAAGAGTTCTGAATAAAATAAAACAGCAACAGAGTAGAGCAGTAACACCTTAAAATCACTTGGAAGGCATGTTAAAAAATATTACTGTCAACTAACCTAATAAAATTCTTTATTATACTTGTTTTTTTAATTCTTTTTTTTATTTTTAATTTTTATAGGTATACAACAGGGATATATATTTGAGGGGTACATCAGATGGTTTGATACAGGCATCCAATGTGAAATAATGGCATCATAGAATACGGTGTAACCATCCTCTCAAGCATTTATCCTTTGTGTTACAAACAATTCAATTACATACTTTTAGTTATTTTAAAATATATAATAAAGTTATTATTGACTATAGTCACCGTATTTTGTGATCAAATGGTAGGTCTTATTCATTCTTTCTATTATTTAACCTCTTAACCATTAACCATTCCCACATCCCTTCCAGCCCTGCACTACCCTTGCCAACCTCTGGTAGCCATCCCTCCTCTAATATCTATCTCCATAAGTTCAATTGTTTTGATTTTTAGATGCCACAAATAAGTGAGAAAATCTGATGTTTGTCTTTCTATTCCTGGCTTATTTCACTTAACATAATGATCTCCAGTTCTATTCATGTTGTTGCAAATGACAGAATTTCTTTTTTTCTTTTTTTTTTTTTTTTTTTTTTTGAGACGGAGTCTCGCTCTGTCACCCAGGCTGGAGTACAGTGGCGCAGCCTCGGCTCACTGCAAGCTCCGCCTCCCGGGTTCAAGCAGTTCTCCTGCCTCAGCCTCCCAAGTAGCTGGGATTACAGGCATGTGCCACCACACCCCAGCTGATTTTTGTATTTTTAGTAGAGGTGGGGTTGCACCATGTTGGCTAGGCTGGTCTTGAACTCCTGACCTCAAGTAATCCACCTGCCTCGGCCTCCCAAAGTGCTGGGATGATGTGTGTGAGCCACTTCACCCAGCCAGAATTTCATTTTTTTATGGCTTAATAGTACTCCATGGTGTATATGTACCACACTTTCTTTATTCATGCATCTGTTTATGAACACAGGTTGCTTTCAAACCTTAGCTATTGTGAACAGTGCTGCAATAAACATAGGGATGGAGATATCTCTTCAATATATTGATTTCGTTTCTTTTGGGTATATACCCAGGAGTGGGAATGCTGAGTCGTGTGATAGCTCTATTTTTAGTTCTTTGAAGAACTTCCAAATTGATCTCCATAGTTGTACAAATTTACATTCCTACCAACATTGTACAAGGGTTCCCTATTAACCACATCCTTGCCAGCATTTGTTATTGCCTGCATATTGGCTTATTTTTAGAAATAAGCCAATTTAACTGAGATGAGATGATATCTCATTGTATTTTTTATTTTCATTTCTCTGATGATCAAGGATGTTGAGCGTCTTTTCATATGCCTGTTCATCATTTGTATGTCTTCTTTTGAAAAATGTCTCTATAAGTCATTTGCTCATTTTAAAAATCAGATTATTATATTGTTTTCCTATAGAGTAGTTTCAGCTCCTGATATATACTTGTTACTAATTCCTTGTCAAACTGGTAGTTTGCAAATGTTTTCACCCATTCTGTGGGATGTCTTTTCACTTTGTTGACTGTTTCCTTTGCTCTCCATAAGCTTTTATGCTTGATGTGATTCCATTTGTCTATGTTTGCTTTGTATTTTGATAGAGATTGCATTGAATCTGTAGATTGCTTTCGGTCGTATGCACATTTTAACAATATTGATTCTGCCACTCGATGAATTGGAGTAATTTTCCATTTTTTTGTGTCCTCTTCAATTTCTTTCCTCAGTGTTTTATGGTTTTCATTATAGAGATCATTCACTTATTTGATTAAGTTTATTCTTTTGTGAGTAAATTTAATTTTTTATGTGGCTATTTAAATGGGATCACTTTTTATTTCTTTTTCAGATTATTCACTGTTAGCATATAGAAATGCTACTGATTTTTGTATGTTGATTTTGTATTCTGAAAACTTTACTTAAGTTGTTTATCAGTTCTAACAGTTTTCTTGTGGATTCTTTAGGTTTATCTAAATATAAGATTCTATCATCTGCAAACAAGGATAATTTGATTTCTTCCTTTCCAGTTTGGATGCCCTTTATTTCTTTATCTTGTCTGATTGCTCTAACTAGGACTTCCGGTACTATGTTGAATAACAGTGTTGAAAGTGGGCATTCGTGTCATGTTCCAGATCCTAGAGGAAAGACTTTCAGTTTTTCCTCATTCTGTATGATACTAGCTGTGTGTTTGTGTGATATAAATAGAGCTATTCCTGCTCATTTGGGTTTCCACTGGTATGAAATATCTTTTCCCATTCCTTTATTTTAGTCTATGTGTGTCTTTAGAGGTGAAGTGTATTTCTTGTAGGCAGTAGTTCAATGGGTCTTGTTTCATTCATTCAGGCAGTCTTTATCTTTTAATTGAAAAGTTTAGTGGATTTACATTCAATGCTATTTTTGATAAGTAAGGACTTCCTCCTGCCATTTTGTTATTTGTTTTAGGCTTGTTTTGTGGTGGTCTCTTCTTTCCTTCCTTTCTTCCATTAGTGAAGGTGATTTTCTCTGTTGACATAATTTATTTTCTTGATTTTCATTTTTTGTGTATCCATGTATGATTTTGGTTTGAGGTTCCTATGAGGCTTGCAAATACCATCTTCTACCCTTATAAGAATTTAGGGCTGGCTGCAGTGGCTCACGCCTGCAATCCCAGCACTTTGGGAGGCTGAGGCAGGTGGATCATGAGCATGAGGGTTCGAGACCAGCCTGGCCAACATGATGAAACCCCGTCTCTAGTAAGCATACAAAAATTAGCCGGGTGTGGTGGTGCATGCCTGTAATCCCAGCTACTCAGGAGGCTGAGGCAGGAGAATTGCTTGAACCCGGGAGGCGGAGGTTGCAGTGAGCCGATATCACGCCACTGCATACTCCAGCCTGGATGACAGAGCAAGACTCCGTCTCAAAAAAAAAAAAAAAAAGAATTTAACACTATTTTCATAAAGTCTTATTTATGAAAATATTATTTTACCCTTATAAAAATTTAACACTATTTTCATAAACAGCCAAGGAAAAACCAAACTAACAAAAATTCTGTACCTTAACTTTGTGCTTCTGCTTTTTAACATTTTGGTTTTTTTCTATTTATATCTAATTGTACTGTCTATGTCTTAAAAAGTTGTTGGTAGTTATTTTTTTTGGTTTATTGTTTAGTCTTTCTAATTAGGATAAACATAGTTTACACACCACAGTTACAGTCTTATAATAATCTCTGTTTCTCTGTGTACTAACTAGTACCAGTGAGTTTTGTACCTTCAGGTCCTTACTTACTGCTCATTAACATCCTTTTTCCTGATTGAAGTACTCCCTTTAGCATTTCTTGTAAGGCAGATCTAGTGTTCATGAAAGCTCTCAGCTTTTGCTTGTTTGGAAAAGTGTTTATTTCTTCTTCATGTTTGAAGGATATTTTTTCCAGATATACTATTCTAGCGTAACTTTTTTTTTTTTTCCTTCAGCGTTTTAAATATGTCATGCAACTCTCTTCTGGCCTATCAGGTTTCCAACGAAAAGCCTGCTGCCAGACGTGTTGGAGCTCCATTACATGTTATTTGTTTCTTTTCTCTTCCTGCTTTTAGGATCTTTTATTTACCCTTGTTCTTTGGGAGTTTCATTATTAAATGCCTTGAGGTAGTCTTCTTCAGGTTAAATACGTGTGGCGTTCTATAACCTTCTTATATTTAAATATTGCTTTCTTTCTGTAGGTTTTGGCGGGTCTCTGTTATTATTCCTTTGGATAAAATTCATACTCCTATCTCTACACCTCCTATTTAAGGGCAATAAGTCTTAAATTTGCACCTTTGAGGCTTGTTTTCAAAATCCTGTAAGCATGTTTTATTGTTTTTCTTCCTTCTTCTTTTGTCTCCTCAGAATGTGTATTTTCAATTAGGTTTTCTTCAATCTCACTAATTCTTCTTTCTGCTTGATCTATTTTGCTATTAAAAGACTGATGCATTTTTCGGTACACCAATTTCAATTTTCAGTTCCAGAATTTCTGTTTGATTTTTTTAAAATTAATTCAACTCTTTGTAAAATTGATTCTATAGTATCCTGAATTCCATCCCTGTGTTATCCTGAATTTTTTTGAGTTTCCTCAAAGCAGCTTTTTTTTTTTTGAATTATCTCTCTGAAAGGTTACATACCTCTGTTTATCCAGCATTTGTCCCTGTTGCTTTATTTAGTTCATTTTGTGAGGTCACATTTCCCCAGATGGTCTAGTAGCTTGTGGATCTTTGTCTTTGTCTCAGCATTGAGGAATTATGTATTTATTATGGTCTTCGCTATCTGGGCTTGTTTGTACCTATCCTTCTTGGGACTGCTTTCCAGGTATTCAAAGAGACTTTGGTATTATGACCTAAGCCATATTTACATTAGGAGACACCACAATCCCAGTAACAACGTGGCTTTTGCAGACTTTTAGAGGTAGTGTTTTGATGGTCTTGGGTAAAATATGGAAGGATTCTCCGGATTACCAAGCAGAGACTCTTGTTCCCTTCCCTTACTTTCTCCCAAAGAAACGGAGTCTCTCTCTCTTTTCTCAACCACCTAAAACTGAGGGCAGAGTGACACTAGCACCCCTGTGGCCACCACCAGTATGACTGTGCTGAGCCAAACCTGAAGCCAGCATAGCACTGGGTTTCACCCAAGGCCTGCTGTAACCACTTCTTCGCTGCTGCCTATGTTTGCTTAATTTCCTGGGGCTCTGCAATCAGCAGCTGGCACAGCCAGCAAGGCCTGTGTCCTTCCCTTCAGGGCCGTGAGTTCCTGCAGGCCCCAGGTGGGTTCAGAGCTGCTGTTAGGGACTCCAGGACATAGAGTCAAAAACCTTAGAAGTCTACCTAGTATTCTATTGTACTGCAGCTAAGCTGGCACTCAGACCACAAGGCATGTATTCTTTCCCACTCTTTCCTACTCTTTCCAAAGGCAGAGGAGGCTCACCCCATAGCCACCACCACCACCACAGGCCATGAGGAGTTCTTCCAGACTGTCACTGAAGTTCCTTTAATGTCCAAGGGCTCTTCAGTAAGTTTGTGGTGAATTCTGCCCGGCCTAGGACTTATCCTTCAGGGAAATGGGCTCTAGTCTAGCTCAGGGAAGATCCAAAGATCTTGCCCATGAATCAAATCCTGAATCAGGGACCCCAGGTGTCCACTTGGTTCACTACACACGTTGGCCCTGCTGATACCTATGGTGCAACACAAAGTCCCCTTAAATTTTTCCTCTGCTTTTCTCAAGCTTAAGAAGTTTCAGTTCTTAGTCACAACAGTTGGTGATTTGCTGAATCTTACATGAAGCCAGCAGTTCTCAGAGGCTCACCCAAGGCACTCCACATAGTACCTAGGTATTGCTGCTGGTTTTTCAGAACCCAAAAGCTCTTCAGTTAGCAGCTGATGAATGCGGCCCTGTCTGGGTCCTTCCCTTCAAGGCATGGGTCTCCCTTCTGGCTCAGGGTTTGTCTAGAAATGTCTTTTGGGAGCTAGGGCCTGGAAGAGGTGCCACGTGACTCTGACCAGCATCCTATCCTGCTGTGGCTGAGCTGGTATCCAAGATGCAAGACACAGTCCTCCCCACTCTTCCCTCTCTTCTCCTCAAGTGGAAGGAAGGATCTCTTTTGGAGCCACAAGCTGTGCATTTTGGGCTCAGGGGAGGTGTGATAGCATCCCTCCCTTAGCCACACCAGTTGGTATCTTAGTGGATTACATGCCCCCCCCCCAACCCCAGGCCACTGACTCCTGGCCCAGTTCAGCACTAGAACTCACCTAATTTTAACATCCTTATGGTCTAGACTACTTGTCAAGTTTACTTAGAGAACTTACCCAGAATACTTTGGCCGTTGGTGGTGAGGTTTGCTAGTACACAAGTTTGGACCACAGGGATTGGCAATTCCACTCTGGCTAGAGCTGGTTTCACTGCTACCCTCCATGGGTGGACATCAGCTGAGTTTTCTCTGGTTTTCCTTTGTGCTCTTAACAAAACAGCACCAAGTTCAATGCCTTACAATTGCTGTGTTCCTCCCTCCACACCCAGAGATGCTCTCTGCACCAAGTTGCCAGTGCTGAGGGGTGGAGAAAGAGTAGCATTGGTGATTCAAGATTATTTTTCCCATCTTTTCAGTGCCTCTTTCAGTGAAATGTAGTTAAAACCAGGTACTAAGAGGGCTCACCTGATTTTTGGTTCTTATTAAGGTGTTTTTTTTTTCTCTATAGATAGTTGCTAAATGTGTGTCCTTGCAGAGGGGACAATTGGCAGAGCCTTCTATTCTGCCAACTTGCTCTGCCTCCACTATAATTTCTAATTCAGCAAATTTAGGATGAGGCCTTAATATTTTGCAATTCTAACAAGTGGCCAGACGTTGCCCATGCTATGGATCCATGAATTATTTTGAGAATCACTGGAATAGCGGACTAATTGTAATGGGGTGGCTATTAAAAAAATGATCCAGGAAGTATAATGAGGAGATAAAAAGAAACATGAAAAGATGAGGGAAAAGCCAGACAATAACAAAGAGGAAGGAGAGGTTTTGAGTAGAGGAGAAAAAAGTAAAAACATGTGAAGATTGGAGTGGGCTTGTGTGTTATTAGAGGGACAGAAGGAAGAAAAGAAGTTCAATATGACTGAAGAATAGCACATGCATGAATGAGCCGTTCAGTCTGTTTCAGGGCCATCTGTTCTTTTAAATGAGCTTTTCAAATTTCTTACCAAAAACCATATTTTAATATCTCTTTAGATAAATCCCTAGTTGTTGTTGTAACTATATGAGTGAGAAGTATGTGGAACCTATAGAAACTAATATTTGTTTTAATAGTTTTTCAATTAATTTCTGATTATGATAATAAATTCTGTAAATAAAAATTTATCCTCTTTTGCAATAATTATATTTATTTTAACCATTTTATATGTTAATGCCTTGCCTATATTTTCAAAGTGGTGCTTTTCTTCTTCCTGTTTTAATTTTTCACCATTAAATATAATGCCAAAATCCAGGAAGAAAATGTTATTTTATACATATTTTCCTAATAACCAAGCTTAATGAACGTGGAAAAGATGTTCAACCTCATGAATGAAGTAATGTAAGTTAAAACTATAAGCACAGTGTCTTACCTATAGTGACAAAGTTATAGGAAATATATATGTATATATAAAGGGGAAGATATGGGATAGATGTACATATAAAGGGGAATTTATTAAGGAGTTTTGACTCACACGATCACAACGTGAGGTCCCACAATAGACCACCTGCAAGCTGAGGAGAAATGAAGCCTGTCCAAGTCCTAAAACCTCAAAAGTAGGGAAGCCGACAGTGCAGCCATCAGTCTGTGGTCTCAGGTCCAAGAGTCCCAAAGCTAAAGAAATTGGAGTCCAATGTTGGAGGGCAGCAAGCATCCAGCACGGGAGAAAGATGTAGGCTGGGAGACTAAGCCAGTTTAGTCTTTCCATGTTCTTTTGCTTGCTTTAATTCTGGCCCTGCTGGCAGCTGATTAGATTGTGCCTGCCCAAATTGAAGGTGGGTCTGCCTTTCCCAGTCTGCTGACTCAAATGTTAATCTCCTTTGGCAACACACTCACAGACACACCCAGGAACAATACTTTGCATTCTTCAATCCAATCAAGTTGATGCTTAATATTAACCATCACGGACTGATATACCCAATTGCTGGCATAATTGTTGGAGCACAAATACTCATATTCTGCTATATTTTAAACATTTTTAAAGTGTAATTTTGATTTTCTCTTTAACTAAATATGTATTCACTAGAGAGTTTTGTATTTCCCAAACATGGTAAATAACTTCTGTTTTAAATGTGCTATTTTTATTTTTATTGTATTATGGTCATAGAGTTTGGCCTACCCATTTTTACACTTTTCAAGTTTACTGAGTTATTTTGTTGGGGACCTACTAAGTGATTTAGCATCTTATTGTACCATAAATGCTTTCATAAAAAAGCATATTTATATTTATACAAATAAATACTTATATCATTTATATTCTAAAAAATAGGTCAAACATGTTTGCACTCTACTCCTCCATGTTAATTATGTTATTCAGATCTTCTTTATCAGTGGTTTGCAAATTATGACCTACAAGAAAAATCTGGATAGCCACCTGTGTTGTAAGTATTTATAGGGATTCAGCCATGCCCATCCATTTACACATTATCTTATGAATGGTTTCATACTATAACAGTGGAGTTGCATAGCATACTGCAAAGCGTAAAATATTTACTATTGCCCCCTTTACCAAAAAAGTTCAATGGCTCCAGTTCTACTTTTGTTTGATTATTTATTTGTGACAGTAGGAATATTTTTTAAAAGCTCCAGTTATTATATTTTTGTCAATTTCCACTTACTATAAAATAGATCTTGATTTTATATATTTGCCACAAAAAGTCAAAGCAATCTCTATAAAATAACCGTCTTTGACACATTTAGTACATTTTGCCTTGGAATATTCTTGCAAATAATGTTGTTAGCCCTGCCTTTGGCATATGTTTGCTTGGTAAAATTTTGCTTGCTATCTTATTTTTAATTTCCACTGCATTAGGAGCAGGCATGGAGTGTACAAGAAAGATTCCGAGTGGCTTGTAAAGTGGATTCCAAGAACAAGGAATACAAGAGGCCACACTTAGGACCTTTAGCTCAGGCTTCCAACTCTCTGATCACTGTATATGAGATGTGGGTGGAAGTTTCTTTCCCTCTTCCCTGTGCAGTCGTGTTTTTGAAAGTTAGGCATGGGTTTGCTTCCAATTATTTCAATTGGGACCATCTGTTCTAAGGGTAATTCTTTCTGGAGGATTAACGTATTACTCATTGATATCCTTACTTTCCAAAGCTGTTTTAACTTTGCAGATTTTTGTTTTTTATCTTGAATTTAGTATTTTCAGGTAGTATGGGTAAAGAGATTAAACTATGTACCACCTGTTGACTACATCGCAACTCACAATCGCACATGAATTTTTAGAAATACCTTAATGTTGAATAATTTTGATTAAATCACTTAACTTTTAAGCTGATATTAAATTTACATGGCTCTGGATGTAACATTCATGCATTTTTAAAATACGTATTGAGCTCCTGCTATGCCCCAGGTACTGTGCTAGGTGCTGGGTTTATCACTCTGAAAATGCCAGATTCCTATTTATCTCAGAGTTTAATGTGAAAGAAGAGAAACTGGCAACTTCAATAGTATGATTTCCAGGATATGAAGATGGTTGTAATACTCAGTTATTTGATCCAGACCTTAAAAATAAATTATATTTTCTATTTAAATATTAAATAGATATATATAATTGCTATTAATAGACAGGATAGTCTTCATAAAATAGTACCGTAAAAACTGGATATCTACACACAAAAATTAACCTAGACACTGACATGAATTATTTCCAAAATTAACTCAAAATAGATCATAAACCTAAATATAAAATGTCATACTATAAAACTTCTAGAAGTTAAGCCAGGTGCGGTGGCTCATGCCTGTAATCCCAGCACTCTGGGAGGCCGAGGTGGGTGGATCACCTGAGGTCAGGAGTTCGTGACCAGCCTGGCCAACATGGTGAAACCCCATCTCTACTAAAAATACAAAATTAGCCAGGTGTGGTGGCATGCACCTATAATCCCAGCTACTCGGGAGGCTAAGGCAGGAGAATCGCCTGAACCCGGAAGGCTGAGGTTGCAGTGAGCCAAGATCGCACCATTGCACTCCAGCCTGGGCGGCAAGAGCAAAACTCCATGTCAAAAAAAAAAAAAAACAAAAAAACAAAAAAACAAAACAAAAAAAAAACCAGACAAATAAAACCCCACAACAAACAAACAACAACAACAAAAAACTTCTAGAAGTTAACATAGGAGAAAATATAGGTGACTTTAGGTTTGGGAATAATTTATTAGATAGAACACCAAAAGCACCACTCGTGAAAGAAAAAAATTATAAGTTGGACTTCATTAAAATTAAAAACCAAAAAACATCTCAACTCTTACTCCAGACTTTTCCTCCTCAGCCAACACATTAACATTTAAAGCCATGACATTGTGGGTCACAATCCAGCCAACAATTCAGCTTGACTAGTGTCACCATCTTTGATCTGCAGGATTTGTGTAATTATTTAATAAAATATTCATGTTTTCTTACTTTATTAAATATAGAAATAAAAATGAAACTATTGATAAGTAATAAGCCTAGATCTCATTATTTAATAAAATTAATAAAAGAAAATCATGAGGTCTGCTGAAAACTGTGATTCTTTGTTTTAGTTAGATGCTCATTGAGTTAACTGAGGAAAAAAAAACTCATAACATGGAGAAAATCAATGTCAATATGTTACATATAAATGAACACAAAATGGATCATAGATTTATAGGTGAAATGCAAAACTATAACATTTCTAGAAAAAAATAATGTGGAAAAATCTACCTAATCTTGGGTTGGACTATGAGTTTTTAGTTGTAACACCAAAAGACTGAATGAAAGAAGAGATAGATAAGTTGAATTTTATTAAAACAAAAAAACTTCTGTGTAAAAAACAGTTAAGATAGTGGAAAAATGTCATTGGATAATGGAAAAAAACATTGAACATTTGCAAAACGCACATCTGATAATGGACTTGTACACAAAATATACAAAGAATTCATAAAAGTCTACAAGAAGAAAGCAAGCAACCCAACTTAAAATAGGGTAAAATATCTGAACAGACACCTCATCAAAGAAGATAGACAGAAAATAAGTATATGAAAATATGCTCAACATAATTTCCATTAAAAGTGTAAATTAAAACAACAAGATACCTCTATACAATTATGAGAATGGCTAAACTTAACCGACAATATAAATTGCTGTAGCGTTTTTGCAGCATTAAGATCTCTCGTTCATTGCTCACATGAATGCAAAACGATATAATGACTTTGGAAGACTTTTGCAAATTCTTACGAGGCTGAACATTGTTTTTCCATACCATGCAGCAATTGTACTCCTAAGTATTTACCTAAATGAGTCAAGGTACCGCTGTCTACATATAAAGAACTATTTTTTTAAGTTGTTACTTTTAGTTCTAGAAATATTAGAGGTCGATTGCAATAATTTCTTGAAGACAGAAAATTCCAAAGATGTAAATAAAAATTATCTGTTTTCTTATAGCCCAGAGATAACCATTATACAATTATACAATGAACGTTACACATTATACAATTTTTTGGTTTAACTTTTTATATTTTGTTTCTCCATAAGTATGCATGTATATAATTTAAAAACAAAATTGGGATTACAGTGTACATACTCTTATATTTTACCTTTTCACTTATATTGAGAACATTTATGAACATTTTCAAATATCATAAATAGTTTTATAGTACCATTTTTAATTGGCTGAAAATATTGGTGCATGGATATAGTTGATTGCCCATTTATTATTATATATTCAGATTGCTTACTGTTTTTAAAAAGTTAATAAGATTTGTATTTGGAAAAGCATACTTGTTAACAATACAATGTCTTATCTTTGAGGATCCATGGTTTGTATATTCTTCTGAGAAACTAATTTTTAAGTTTTGAATACTGGGAATATTGTGCGTAATAACATCCCCTCTTCACATTGGCTGATGTGAATCTTAGACCCACCTAGTTTATGGATTTCTTAAGTTGTGTCTCTGGGCTTCGACTTGCTTTCCTTTACAGTTAATTTTGTCTCAGTTTTTTTTTATGTGAATTTCATAGTGTCATATTGTGTGCACACTTTTAAATTTCCTTAATTAGCTTGAGAACATAGTAGGGAACAAATACATAAAAATAAATAAATTACAACCTTTATAATGGTAAGTGCAGATATCATCAGACATGAGGGCCTAATTAGTAATACAATTTTCTTCACAAGGCTTCCCACAGACTGTACTTTATTTGGTATAACTTGACTGGACAATTCTTGACATTACTTTCTGGTCACCTTATTATCTTTGTATTCTTCAAGTTTTCAGAGAGGCTGAGTGACATTAATATTTTGTTCTACTAGGCTTTTCTAGAAAAAGTGGCAAGCAGTTGAGAATGTGTTCTAGAAGTGTAAATAGCCAACATGTTCATTTATCTTTCTTTTGGCTGACTGTAGGTAATAAAATATTGAATACTATACAAATTTAAGCAGAGAAAAATGTTAACTGCCCAAATGTTTGTAGTTACTAATGAAATTGCCTGTGTAATGGTGTCTATCAAGAGAGTGATTCTGTAAAGGACAATTAGTCTCACCAGAAAGCACTTACTGAAATTTATTTTTAGTGAAATGAACCCGAAAATATCACAGGAATTGTATTTCACAATTAAACTTGATTGGAAGCTGCTGATCTGAACAATAGACAAATGATAGGTGTGGACTTAGTACTGATTAAATGCTCACTGTTTGTCACTTTCTGGTAACAAAATTTCTACAGGATAAGAAGCACCATATTTATCAAATTTAACAAATACACAAAGCAAATTAATTAACTTGAACATCTTATGTACCATATGCACATCAACTGTGAGACTTTTCTGCATATATATTTCTCGTTTACAAACATTGCTTCACACAGACTTTCTTTATCAAAGAACTAGGGATTAAGACTACTTCATTCCTCCAACACTAAGCATTTACTTCTTCAACAATAAAACAGAAATTTAAAAGATCAACTTTGTTCATTTCTCCAAGTGTTTATGAAAGCAACTGTTTGAATTTAGTTTATGAATGTGAGAAGACAGCATATTATAAGATATGCAGAAAAACATAAACATACAGAACTGAATATAACACCAATAAATAAATAAATAATATCAGGGGGTTTTTTTGTGCTGAGAGAAAATATGTTGTTTAATGGATAAGTACACGGACTGCGCATTAATGCTTCGGCTTCACCACTTATTCTCTGAGAGATCTTGGCCAATTATTGAATATCTCTGAGTCCCAGGGTTTTGTAATCATTAAAAGGAGTGTAGAAAGGCTTGTGTGTCAGAGGAGTATCATAAGGATTAAATGACTTGGGTGAGGTTTCTGCTTCTATGCAGAAATAATACCTGAAACATTTGAATGTGTGAGAAAATAAACAACATGCAATGTTATAATGTGTGTGTAGTGTATATTCTCAGAAAGTTTCTTAAAAAGAAAAATGAGATCCAGTCATTTGTAGCAACAGGGATGGAAGGAACTGCAGATCGTTATGTTAAGTGAAATAAGCCAGGCACAGAAAGACAAATAACACATGTCTCTGACTTATTTTAGGATCTAAAAATCAAAACAATTGAATTCATGGACATAGAGAGTAGAAGGACAGTTATTAGAGGCCTCATATGGTAGTGGGGGAGTGGCTTCAGAGGAGGTGGATGTGGTTAATGGGTACTAAAAAATAGAAAGAATGAATAAGACCTACTATTTGATAGCATAACGGTGACTATAGTCAATAATAACTTGTTTGTTTTAAAATAACCCAAATAATGTAAATAGATTGTTTGTCAAAGAATAAATGCTTGAGGTATGTATACCCCATTCTCCACCATGTGCTTATTTCACATTGCATTCTTGTATGAAAATATCTCATGTATCACATAAACATACACACCTGCCTTGTACCCACATAGCTTAAACATTAAAAAATTAAAAAACAAAAACATCAAACAAAATATATCTGTGTATACATATGTGTGTGTATATATAGATATATGTGTGTCTATATGTATGTAAGACTGCTAATTATAACTTTATTGATGTACACAGAGTTGATTTAATCATACTCGTCATTTCAAGGCACAGGATCATGCAAAGCCCCTCTCTTATTCTATTTTATTTTTTTTCTTTGTCTCTGATTCCCACACTCATTTCTTTCTTTCTGATAAATACTCATTTCCGATTAAGTCTTCATTTGTATGTTTTAAGTGCTATATAAGTAGTATTGTACCGTGGATATTTTGGGGTTTTCCAGCTTTGTTGAGGCATAATTGCCAAATAAAAGCCATATATATTTAAGGTGTATGATGTGATTTTTTGACATACATATACTGTGAAACGGTTATAACAATCTTGCTAATTAACATATCTACCATCTCACACAGTTACGCTTGTGTGTGTGCAATGAGAATACTTAAGATCTGTTTTCTTTGCAAATTTCATGCATACATTATTATTAACTATAGTCACTATAGTCATCCTATGCGTTAGGTCTCCAGAACTTATTTTACTTATAGCTGAAAATTTGTGTCCTTTGACCAATATCTCCTTATTTGTCACCAACCAACTCCTGGTATCTAGGGTTCTACTCTCTGTGTCTACGTATTTCAGTTTTTAAAATTCCACATATCACTGAGATCAGGCATGCAGTGTTTGTCTTTCTGTGCCTGGCTTATTTCACTTAGCATAACAGCCTCCAGGTATATGCATGTTCTTACAAATACAAGATTTTCTTGTTTTTGAAATCTGGATAATATTCCATCGTATGTATACATCAACACACATGCACACTCCACATTTTCTCCATCCATTCCTTGATAGATACTTAGCTTATTTCCACATCCTGTCTGTTGTGAATAATGTTGTAATGACATGGGAGTGCACATTAGTCTTGAGGCACTGAATTCAATTATTTGGATATATACCCAGAAGTGACATGACTAGTTGATATGGTAGTCCTAGTTTTATTTTCTGGAACTTTTACACAGTTTTCTATAATGCCTGTACTAATGTACATTCCCATCAACAGAGTACAAGGATTATCTTTTCTCCACACCCTCACCAATACTTGTTATCTTTTGTCTTTTTGATTGTAGCCATTCTAACAGATGTGAAATGTTATTGTGGTTTTGCATTTCCCTGAGGCTTAGTAATATTGAACACTTTTTCATATACATATTGGCAATTTGTATGTCTTTTTTGAGAAATGTTGATCCAGGTCCTTCGCTCATTTTAAATTGAGTTGTTTGCTTTTTTGCCATGGAGTTAATGAGTTACTTAAATATTTTGGTATTTAACCCCTTAGTGGATATGTGGTTTGCAAGTATTCTTTTCCCATTCCATAGATTGTCTTTTTATTTTACTAACTGTTTCCTTTGCCTTGCAAAAGTTTTTCAGGTTGTTTAAGTTCCACATGTTTATTTTTGCTTTGTTGCCTAGGCTTTTGGCTTCATATAAAAAAAATCATTGCCAAGACCAATGTCATAGGCCTTTCCCTTATATTTCTTTCCAGGGATTTTATACTTTCAATTTTTACATTTAACTCTTTAATATATTTTGGGTTGATTTGTGTGTATTGTTTATGATAAGGATCCAATTTCATTTCATATTTTCTGCATGCAGTTATGCAGTTTTACCAGCACCATTTATTGAAAAGACCATCGTTTCCTTAAGCATTGTTGATCAGTCTTCATTTTTATCATTATTCTTATCTGTGTGTCTTTTTATTCTGGTAGTATTAAAGGTTTGCTTTTTGTCTTTGCGTTTTAGAAGTTTCACCATGATGTGCCCTCATATGCTTTTCAGTGCACTTTTCCTGCTTTGAGGATAATGAGCTTCTTAGATCTATTCATGATCTAGATAACTTGATTTTATTATCTTCTCATTTCACATAGTAAACTTTTCCATTTTTATTTCCATTTGATACTTTTTTAGAGTTTTCATTTGCCTGCCGTGATTCACAATCTATTAACTCATTGCTACGTCTTCTTTAATGTCACTAAAACTTGTTTGTAACTGCTACTTAAAACACAAACACACATACATATAAATATAGGCCAATTTTAACATGTGTAGCATATCGATATCTATTTGTTTAGGCTACTTATTGTCAAATTCCCTACTTCATATATCTAGTAATTTTTATCGTAAACTGTATATCGTGGTTGATGTTTTGCCACACCTCACATTTCCATCCGAAAGCTTTTTTTAACAAAGAAAAAAGGTGTATGCAACAGCACTAATTATAATTTTCTTGATATACAGAGAGCTGATTGAATAACACTCCTCAATTCAAGACAAAGTATTATGTAAGGCCATCTCTTATTTTACTTGCGTGTTGTAGGGCATCTAGATCATGGCACTTTCTTTAAAAAGTGTTGATATTTAATCTGGCAGGCAGTTATATTACTTTCAGAGCCTTTTGGTCCTGTCACATTGGTGATTTCCCTAATCTATTTCTGTTTTCAACTTAGTCCTACATCACGGACCATACTTTGGTTTATTATTCCAAAATAGTAGTCTTTTAATGGTCTCAACTGAATTCCAGAGGTATTCAATGAGGTCTTACACCTCTACTTGGGTCAGAACTACATCTCCCAGCCTTGCCAAACATCTGTTTCAGCTGGTAGGCACACAGCAGACAATATTTCTTAGGCTTTGTGGAGTTCTCATCCAGTACAGGTCTAGTCCGTATGTTAGTCAAGGACTCATGATAAATTCCCACCCAGACATAAGGAATCCACTTTCTGAATGTCTTACTGTTTTCTAGTACTTTGCCTCAAAAAAAATTCCAGGTGCTTCAGCAGACCAGAACTCTTATCTCTGTCTCTTGGTACATTTGAGCTACTATAAGAAAATACCATAAGCTGGGTAGATATAAACAACAACAACTTACTTCTCACAGTTCTGGAGGCTGGGAAGTCCACATTGAAGGGATACTCAGAGGGTCTACTTCCTGGTTTATAGACAGTGCCTTCTTGCTGTGTCTTCACATGGTAGAAAGGGTGAAGGAGCTCTCTGATGTCTCTTTTTATAAGGACACTAATTCCATTCATAAGGGCCCCACCCTCATGACCAAATCACCTCCCCAAAGCCATTCCTCCTAATACCATCAAATTAGGGGTTAGTTTCAATATCTGAATTGCGGGGAGATACAAATATTCAGATCATAGCAGCCTCCTAAGGTCATTTTTTCCCATTACTTCACTTTGGATCTACCTCCTGGTGTTGTAGAAAGAAAGTTCTCCCAGAAAGAAATCCAGAAATGTAAAGGGGTGGGGTTGGGCCATTTTGTATCTTTTCCTTCTCTTGATAATTATAGTACTGCCTGATATGCAATGCTTGAAAACCAGTGCCTCATTTATTTTGTCACTTTTAAAACCGTTTTGGCAAAATAGCAATTTTAGTAACACTTATTCTGTCATGGCTAGTAGTGGAAGTTTAACTTAAAGTTTTTTTTTTTTTTTTAATGGAGCATCTTTTATCAACATTTAAATTTTTAATGGTTGCTTGTCTAATCATAATTTTAAAAATTGTTTCTTCTGCCACTTTTAAGATGGTATATCTTTTCAGAAATTCACTTGTATCTTTTGGTTTATAAATGTATTGACATAAAGTTGTTCATAATGCTATTATTATCTTAGCATTTTTAAAAATCTTGGTTTTGTTTGTAGGTATTTATGTTTGTTTTTCTTTTTCCATTCCTTCTGCCATTTATATGTGTATGTCTTGCATCTTTTCTGCTTATACTTGTCAGTGATTTTTCTGTCTTACTAATGTCTCCAAATACCCCAGCTTTTATTGTAATAATATTATTTAATGTTATAGATTCACTTTATTATTTATCTTTGGATTTACATAACTAAAGTACTTTACTTACTTTCTTTACTTACTTAAATTTCACTCATTTGTTTCTTTCTTAAAAAATAAATACATTTATATCTATAAAGTTTTCTCTGACTACTACTTTATCCATATCCCAGACATTTTAACGTTAGTGATGACTATTCAATATAAGTATTTCATTCCACTCTGGTTTCTTCTCAAATGGGGCCCACATCACAACCTTGGGAAATGCTGTGCAACTTTTGCTCCATCCTAGTCGAGTCAGCTGATTCTAATTAGGCAACATTTTTCTGGCTCTACCACCAAAGAAGTTAGCTCATCCACAGCCCTCTAGATTGCCAAGAACAACAACTGTATCCCTGTTCGTGGTGGACCTCAGCAATAGGACACACATATCAAGCTTACCAACTCTCCTGAGGCTTGAGGAAAATAATATATTTCTCCCAAGGTGAGGATGGAGACTCCCAGTAGGGCAAGAGATCTCTCCAAAGAAATATCTTCATCGTTAGAAGCTGGTATCTGTATGCACAGAATCTTCTTCTCCTTCATTAACTGTGGATGAAAAATCTGTGCTTATTGCTAAGGCCAACATTTGCACTTGTAAAGAAAATTTCATTTTTCTTGTCTACTTCCGGCCATAACTTCCAACAATTATTCTCTTTACAACCTGCATCATCAATATTCTATTTTTGATCATATAATTTATATCAACAACTTAGTGACATGCTGATATGGCTTAGCTGTGTCCCCACCCAAATCTCATCTTGAATTGCAGTTCCCATAATCCCCACATGTTGTGGAAGACCATGTGGAGATAATTGAATCATGGGGGCAGTTTCCGTCATGGCATTCTTGTGATAGTGAGTAAGTTCTCATAAGATCTGATAGTTTTATAAAGGTCTTCCCCTTTCACTTGGCTATCATTCTTCTTTCTCCTGCCACTATGTGAAGAAGTAAATGTTTGCTTCCCCTTCCACCATGATTGTATGTTTCCTAAGGCCTTCCTAGCAATGCTGAACTGTGAATCAATTACATCTATTTTCTTTATAAATTATCCAGTCTCAGATATTTCTTCACAGCAGCATGAAAACGGACTAACACAGTAAATTGGCACCAGGTAGTGGGATGCTGCTATAAAGGTACCTGAAAATGTGGAAGCGACTTTGGAACCGGGTAACAGGCAGAGGTTGGAACAGTTTGGAGGGGTCAGAAAAAGACAGAAAAATGTGGGATAGTTTGAAACTTTGTAGAGATTGGAGGGCTCAGAAGACAGAAAGATGTGGGAAAGTTTGGAATTTCCTAGAGACTTGTGAAAGGTTTTGACCAAAATGCTGATAGTGATATGGACAATGAGGTCCAGGCCGAGGTGGTCTCAGATGGAGATGAGGAACTTTTTGGGAACTGGAATAAAGGTGACTCTTGCTATATATTAGCAAAGAGACTGGTGGCATTTTGCCCTTTCCCTAGAGATCTGTGGAACTTTAAACGTGAGATAGATAATTTAGGGTATCTGGTGAAAGGAATTTCTAAGCAGCAAAGAGTTCAAGAGGAAGCAGAGCATAAAAGTTTGGAAAATTTGCAGCTGACAATGCAATAGCAAAGAAAAATCAATTTTCTGGAGAGAAATTCAAACAGGCTGCAGAAATTTGCATGAGTAATGAGGAGCCAAATGTTAACCATCAAGACAATGGGGAAAATGTCTCCGGGGCATGTCAAAGACATTTACAGCAACCCCTCCCATTACAGGCCTGGAGTCCTAGGAGGAAAAATGGTTTTGTGGGCTCGGCCGAGGGACCCCCTGATATGCGTGGCCTAGGGACTTGGTGCCCTACATCCCAGCTGCCCTGGCAATGGCTAAAAAAAGCCAAGGAACAGCTCGGGACATGACTTCAGAGGGTGCGAGCCCCGAGCCTTGGCAGCTTCCAGGTGGTGTTGGGCCTGTGGGTGCACAGAAGTCAAGAATTGAGGTTTGGGAATCTCCACCTAGATTTCAGAGGATGTATGGAAACACATGGATGTCTAGGCAGAAGTCTGCTGCAGAGGCAGAGGCCCCATGGAGAACCTCTGCTAGGGCAGTGTGGAAGGGAAATGTGGGATTGGAGCCCCTACACAGAGTCCCTACTGGGGCACTGCCTAGTGGAGCTGTGAGAAGAGAGCCACCATCCTCCAGACCCCAGAATGGTAGATCCACCAACACCTTGCACAGTGCACCTAGAAAAGCTGCAGACACTCAATGCCAGTTGTGAAAGCAGCCAGGGGTGAATTGTACCCTGCAATGCCACAAGGGTGGAGCTTCCCAAAGCCATGGGATCCCAACTCCTGCATCAGTACAACCTGGATGTGACACATGGAGTCAAAGGAGATCATTTTAGAACTTTAAGGTTTAATGACTGCCCTGTTGGATTTAGGACTTGCATGGGGCCTATAGGCCCTTTATTTTGGCTAATTTATCCCATTTGGGAATGGTGTGTTTACCCAATGCCTGTATCCCCATTGTATCTAGGAAGTAGCTAACTTGCTTTAGATTTTACAGGCTTCTAGGTGGAAGGGACTTGCCTTGCCTCAGATGAGACTTTGGACTTGGACTTTTGAGTTAATGATAAAATGAGTTAAGATGTTGGGGGTCTGTTGGAAGGGCATTATTGTGTTTTGAATTGTGAGGACAGGAGATTTTGGAGGGGCCAGGGGCAGAATGATATGGTTTAGCCATGTCCCCACCCAAATCTTATCTTCATAATACATCAAGACCATAATGAAATTGTAGTTCCCATTATCCCCATGTGTCATAGGAGGGACCAGGTGGAGGTAATTGAATCATGGTTTCCACCATGCTGTTCTCATAAAAGTGAGTAAGTTCTCACAAGATCTAATGGTTTTATAAGAGGCTTCCCCCTTTGCTTTGCTCTTATTCTTCTCTCTCCTGCCACCATCTGAAAAAGGAAGTGTTTGTTTCCCCTTTTCCCATGATTGTAAGTTTCCTGAGGCCTCCCCAGCCATGCTGAACTGTAAGTCAATTAAACCTCTTTTAAAAATAAATTAAACAGTCTTGGATATTTCTTCATAGCAGTGTGAAAATGGACTAAAACACATGCCATTTCTTTTTTCTCCATTCCTTGATAGTAAAACTCCTACGCACTATATCTCCAGTTTCATTTGTCTATGTTTTATTAAACACAAGTAAGCCATGTTTGCGTTTTTTTTTTTTTTTTTTTTTTTTTTTTTTTTTTTGCTGGAGTCTCGCTCTGTCGCCCAGGCTGGAGTGCAGTGGCACGATCTCAGCTCACTGCAAGCTCTGCCTCCCGGGTTCATGCCATTCTTCTGCCTCAGCCTCCTGAGTAGCTGGGACTACAGGCACCTGCCACCACGCCCGGCTAATTTTTTGTATTTTTAGTAGAGATGGGGTTTCACCGCGTTAGCCAGGATGGTCTCGATCTCCTGACCTCGTGATCCGCCTGCCTCGGCCTCCCAAAGTGCTGGGATTACAGGCGTGAGCCACCGCGCCCAGCCGCCATGTTTTGATTCCAGTGTTACACCGAAACTGTTATTGTCAAGATCATCATGTGCCTCACACAGTGTTTAAGCCAATATTTAATTCTCATACTTATTCTTACTTTATACATAAACAGTTTTTGATACAGTTATTAGTTTCCACTTTTGTCATTTGGTTGTTGGTATATCACACTCTCCTGGCTTTCTGACTACTGTGCTGGCTACTACTTCTCAGTCTCCTTTGCTGGTTTCTTTTTATATCTCTGACCTCTTATATTAAAGATCTCTAATGCTAACTCTTCAGGACCCTTACATCCAGCTTTTCCTGTTTTCAATCTCCACACTCCCTTGGTTGTTTCATTCATTTTCTTGGCTAGTAATTCTTCAATACACTGACTCCTCAATTTATATTGCCAGCTATGATTTCTCTGTTGAACTCCAAATTCTTGTATCAACTGTCTATTCAACAACTTTTTTTGATTTCCCAATAGATATTGTAAACTTAATGAATCTCTATTGGAACTTGCTCTCCATAAGCTCCTCTTTCTACACTATTCCCCAACTGAGGAAATCACATCTCCATGTTTCCAGACCCTCAGGCAAAAAACTTTGATATCTCTTACTCATATCTCAGATTCAATTAGTAAGCCAATATAGTTGCCTCTATTTTCAAATGATTTCCAGGATATGTCCCCTTCCTACTATCCACATAGCTACCACCCTAGTCAAAGCTACTTTCATTGTTTTCTACCAGATTGTTAAAATAGCCTTATATAAAGTCTTCCTAATTCTATCATTTTTTCTTTTCAGTATATTTTCACTCAGAAGCTAGAATGGTTATGTTGAAATATAAGTCAGTTCATGTCTGTTCTTTGCCTAGAACCCTGCAATGGCTTTTCCTATGACCCAGAGTCTTTACCACAGTCTACAAAGCTTTATGTAATCTGTCCCCTTTGCTGTTATCGCTATGACTTTACCTCCTGCTATTTTAACTCTTAGTCACTTTGATCCAGTCACATTGGCATTCTTGTTATTTCCACAAATGTAAAATATGCTTCAGAGCCTTTGCACTTTCCCTTCCCTCTATATGGAATAAAATTTTCCCTGTCTAGAAAGGTCAGTACCTCACTTCTTTCAAATTCTTATTCACACATGACACCGCTGTGATATCCCTTGGCTATTTTAACTAAAATCAATATCACGACTCACCTGTAATTTTTTGTTTTATTTTTCTCATTAGGACTATTTGTCACATGACATGCTATAAATTTCACTTATTTATACAGTATATTAGGTGGCTTTGTGCTCTGGAGTGTACTTTCTATTAAAGCAATTTATTTTCTCTTTGTTTTACGACTTTGTATCCAGTGTCTAGCAGTATCTGGCACATACTAGACCCCGAAGAAATAGAATGACTGATTTCTCAGAATTGAAGCCAGATTTAAATGCTGCCCTGGTCATAACCTGGTAAAGAGTGCTGATATTCTTGTTTCTCTGGTTCTCAGTGACAGTAGGGCAGGGAATGATTCACTTGTGGCAGTGTGGAGAAGTAGGAAATAACATAATTTATTAATTTATTTAAAAATGTTCTCCAGTGACATTCCCAGTCTGGAGCACCTGGCTTTTACCTGCTCTATGTTTCTATTTCCTCCCACTCTGGAATCCAATTACCTCTGGCTTTCCAGGTTTTTCTCACTATTTTTAGATAGTTTTTCAGTCCCTCTAACCCACTTTTGCCTCTGAGGCAATCTGAGGGTTGAGTTTTTGACAGGAAGTTAACAGCCTTGTCAGAAACTGAAGCTAGATGCATGTTTCAACAATATATGTATTTTTCCCTAAATAAGCTTTTTTTTATTTAGGTAAAAATATTAAAAAGCACATACACAGTTCCTCTATTATTAACCCATTATATTAGTATGGTACAATTGTCACAACTCAAGAACTCAATATAATTTATAATCAATAAATTATAATTAATTAATGTCCATGATTTATTCAGATGTAGTCACTTTTTTTAAGTCATATTCTTTTTCTCTTCCAGGATCCCAACCAGGATAGATACCACATTGCATTTAGTTGACATGTCTCCTTAGGCCACTCTTGATTATGAAAATTTCTCAGACTGTCCTTGTTTTTGATGACCTTAACTGAAAATAAGGAGTACTGGTTATGTATTTTGCAAGATGTCTCTCTATTGAGATTTGCCGGATATCTTTCTCACAGACTGGGGCTATGAGATCTAGACAGGAAGGCCATAGATAATAGAGTGCAATTCTCATCATATCAAGGGCCCAGGCTATCAACAAGACTTATGACTGTTGATGTTAAGCTTGGTAGTCGAGCTGAGATGGTGTTAGGTTTCTCCACCATAAAGTTATTCTTTTATTACCCTTTTCCATACTCCACTTTTTGGAAAAAAGTCACTGCGCATAGCCTGTACCTAAGGAGTGGGTAGTTATGCTTCCCTCTTTGAGGACTGAATATCTACATAAATTATTTGGAATTCATTACAAGGCATGTGTCTCTCTACTCCTTAACTTATTGATTCAGTCATTTATTTACATAAGTATGATATTATGGATATTTATTTTATACTTTGGGGTTATGATTTAGTATTGCTTCATTTTTTTTTTTTGCTCCAGTTGTTCAGTTTGGGGCACTGGAAATTTCTTCAGTTGACTCCCATCTTTTTCCATTGACATACTTCTGTTGTGAGCTTTCTTTTTAAGTAACTTCTTTCTGGCATTACAAGATACTCTAGGTTCATCTTATATATTTCCTGCTTCAGTTTTGAATTAGCCATTTCTACAAAAGGTCCTGGTTCCTTTTATGGGACAGGGACATTAGATTTAGAAACGAGATGTGCACATTGCCGCTGGGCTGTTGCTTCTAGACACTGTCAGCTAACAGTACAAGGAAATATAACTACGTATATTGCTTCTTGTGTATATACATATCTGTAAATCCTTCCATTTGTAGCTATTTGTATCTATAATAGGCTAAACATGAGTTCGTAGTGATGTCTCTAATTCTAGTTCATTTACACATAGATTACTATAGCCTGCTTCTCTTCCTTATCTTTAATTCCAACAGTTAGAAACCTGGCTTCCAATCATCCACTATGCATTTAATAAATTGTTTAATGCATACATAGTGCTATAAGAATTGTTAACTCATAACCTATTAGGAAACAATTTTGTTGGCTAAAACACAGTGTTTCTATAGTTTCCCTTCAGTTCTTTTTGTCTTATAGCCTCCATTCTTTTTCAGAGTTGCTTAGTCAGCGAATGTAGTTGCCTCTATTTTCAAATTTCACCTTTTCCTCTCACCCTCATTTTGAGGATGTTTCAGACATTATATAAATATAATACAGTTAGGTTCTCTTGTCAGAGTCTGCATGGGATCCTCCAATCTCTTAAATAATCTTTGAAAATTTGCATACATTATGGTTCACTACGTGCTGTTACGTTTTAAGAATTTTTACAAATGCAGTATTTTGTAACCACCTTTACTGCATCACACAAAAATAATTTTACTTCCATTAAAAATAATTTCTTGTGCTTCACCTACTCAAGCTCCTCACCCTGAACCCTTGACAACCATGATCTGTTTACCCTGTCAGTATTCTTAACTTTTTTACAATATTATATAGTTGGAATCGTACAGTATGTAGCTCTTCTAGACTGGCCTATTTCACACAGAACAGTGGATACAATATTCACCCATTTGTTTGCCGGACTTGATAGGTCATTCGTTTTTTGCTGAATAATATTTAATTGTATGGTTATACTACAGTTTGTTTATCCATACACCTATTGAAGAACACCTTTGTTGATTTCAGTTATACTGATTACAAATAAAGCTGCTATAAACATTGAGTGCAGGTTTTTCTGTGGACATACATTTTTAATTCATTTGGGTAAACATTAAGGAGTGCAAATGATGTATTGTATGATAAGGCTACATTTAGCTTTTAAAAATGTGTCAAATTGTCTTCCAAAGTATCAGTCCCAGTTTGAATTTCCCTAATCAATAAATAGGAGCTGTTGCTGCTCCCCACACTCTACAGGAATTGTTATTACCATTTTTATTGTTTTACAAAATTTAGTCATTATCTTAGGTAAGTACTGGTATTGCATGTTGTTTTAATTTGCATTTCTTTAATGAAAACTGATGTTGAGCATATTTTTAGATGCTTATTTGCTATCTATGTATCTTCTTTGGTGAGATCTCTATTAAGACTTTTTGTCCTTTTAAAAATTAGCCTTGTTATTGCAGAGTTTTAAGAATGTTTTGCTCTTTTTTACTTAATGTATGATGTTTTAATTTTATTTTTAATTGACAAATTATAATTGTACATAAGCATGAAGTACAATGTAATGCTTTAAGTATATATTTGGAATGATTAAATCAAGCTAATTAACATATCTGTCATTTCACATATTTATCAGTTTTTGTGGTAAAAACATTTGAAATTTACTCTCAGCAATTTTGAAATAATATACAACACATTATTATTAACTATTATCACCTTACTGTGAAATAGACCTTAAGAACTTATTCCTTCTGCCTAACTGAAACTTTGTACCCTTTGACTAACATATTCCAATCCTCGCTACCCCAACTCCAGAGTCTGGTAACCACTAAGCGACTATGATTTTGTGAGTTTGTCTTTTTTTGGATTCCACATATAAATAAAATTAAGCAGGATTTGTAAATGTTTTGGCCTTACTTATTTCACTTAGCACAATGACTTCCAGATTCATTCACGTTGTCATAAATGAAAGGATTTCTTTCTTGATAAAGGCTGAATAATACCAGTTTTTGTTTCTATATGTATAAACATATATATATATAAATGTCATATACGTATGACATTTTCATTGTTATTCATCCATTGATAGGCATGCCAATGGAGAAAAATGACGAGACAGAAGGAGAGTCTCAATTATTTTAGGAGATTTCTTTGCCAAAGTTAAGGACTTGTGTCTGAGAGACAGGTCTATGCCTTTCTACAAAGATGATTTTGAGGGCTCCGAAGTTAAAGGGGAAAGGGCGGATATTGAGAAGTACACAATTTTCATGTAAGAGGCGGGTAGGGAAAAATAGTCATTAATGCCTTTGGTTCAGTGAATCTGTATTTTTTTTACACGAGATGACATAGACAAATGGGGCACAGGAAGAATGCAGGGAATCCACGTTTTACATAAGATAACACAGACAAAATGGGGCAGGGGAAAAATCAGATATGCCTTTGTGTCTGATGGGACATGGGTGACTGCACCTATAAAGGTAAGTTATCCATTTACATTGCCATGGTGAAATTTTAACAGAAACACCTTAAAAGATCTTGCAGCTCACTAGGAATTTTCTTATGGGCAAAAATAGGGGTGACATGTAGCTTTCCATCTTGTAGCCATCTTTTTTAAAAACCAAAAGGGGAAGGCAGGTTTGTGTGTCCCAGTTCCCAGCTTGACTTCTTCCCTTTGGCTTAATGAGTTTGGGGTCCCGAGATTTAATTTCCTTTCACAGGCACTAAGGTTAATTCTCTGTCTTGAGTATTGTAAATAATGCTACAATGAACATGGAAGTACAGATATCTCTTCTACACATTCATTTCAAATCCTTTGAATATATACACAGAAATAAGTTTGCTGGGTCACCTGGTGGCTCTATTTTTAGTTTTTTAAGAGATCTCCATACTGTTTTTCCTAATATTTGTATTAATGTATATTTACAATAACAGTATACAAGTGTTACCTTTTCTCTACATCCTCACCACCAAAACTTGTTAACTTTCATCTTTTATTATAAAAACAATTTTAATAGGCATGATGTAATGATCTCATTATGGTTTTAGTTTGCAGTTTTTCATATATCTGGTGGCCATTTGTATGCTTTCTTTTCTTTTTTTTTTTTGATGGAGTTTCACTCTGTCGCCCAGGCTGGAGCACAGTGGCATGATCTGGGCTCACTGCAACCTCCGTCTCCCTGGTTCAAGCATTCTCCTGCCTCCAGAGTAGCTGGGACTACAGATGCCCACCACCACGCCTGGCTATTTTTTTTTTTTTTGTATTTTTAGTAGAGAGGGGGTTTTTCCCTGTTGGCCAGGCTGGTCTGGATCTCAGGTGATCCGCCTGCCTGGGCCTCCCAAAGTGCTGGGATTACAGGCGTGAACCACCACGCCCAGCCTGTATGTCTTTTTTTTAAAGAAATGTCTATTTGGTTCCTTTGTTCATATTTTAATCAGGCTATTAATTTTCTTGCTACTACTTTTAGTTCCCTTTGTAGTTTGTATATTAACCTTTTATCAGACGTATGGTTTGCAAATATTTTTCCCAATCCATATGTTGTCTCTTCACTCTGTAAATTAGTTCCCCTGTTGTGCAGAAGCTCTTCAGCTTTGAGGTATATTTATCCTATACATAATTTGTTGAGAGTTCTTTTTTAACCATGAATGAATATTAAATTTTATAACATGCTCTTTCTGCATTTATTGAGATGCAGATTATATTTCATTTTGTTATACTGCTGTATTATATTTATTGATTTATATATGTTCAACCATCCCTGCATCCCTTTGATAAATCTCAATCATAGTAATGAACTTTTTAATGTACTGTTGAATTTGGTAGCTAGGTATTTTGTTGAGAATTTTTGGATCTATTAACATCACAAAAATTGGCCTATAATTTTCTTTTTTGTAGTGTTGTTTTCTGGCTTTAGTCTTGGGGTATTTCGGGCCTTGTAACATGAATTTCAAACTGTTTACTCCTCTTCAATTTTCTGGAAGTGTTTGAGAAAGATGAATATTCATTCTTTTTTAAAACTTTTGTAGAATTAAGCAGTGAAACTATCAGGTCCTGGGCTTTTCTTTGATGAGACATTTTATTACCGATTCAATCTCCTTGCTTCTTATTGGCTTATTCACATTTTCTATTTCATCGTGATTCAGTCTGGGTAGGCTGTATGTGTACAGGAATTTGTCCATTTCATCTCGGTTACACAATTTTTTGGTGTATAATCATTCATAGTAATTACAATATTTTGTATTTCTGTAGTATCAATTGTAATGTTTTCTCTTTTAGTTCTGATTTTATTTACTTGCATCTTCTTCTTTCATAGTCTAGCTAAAGATTTATCAGTTATGTGTATCTTTTCAAAAAAAGAACTCTGTTCCATTGATCTTTTCTGTTGTTTTTCTGGTCTCTATTTTCTTTATTTCTGCTCTGACCTTTAGTGTTTTCTTCCTTCTACTAACTTTTGCTTAGTTTGTTTTACCTTTTCTAGTTCCTCGAGATGTAACGTTAGTTTTTTTGGGATCTTTCTTCTTTTCTGACATAGGCATTTATTGCTATAAGCATCCCTCTCAGGAATACTTCTCCTGCATCACTTAAATTTTGGTATGTTCTTTTCCCCTTTTCATTTTTCTCAATGTGTTCTTTTAATTTGTTTTAATTTCATCTTTGACTCATTTATTGTACAGGAGTGTATTAATTTCCATATATATGTGAATTTTCCAAAATGCCTTCGGTTATTGATTTCTAGCTTCATAACATTGTGGTCAGAAAAAATATTTCATATGACTTTAGTCTTCTTAAATTTGTTAAGACATGTTGTGTGGCCTAACACATGATCTATCCCAGAGACTGTTTCATGTTTTCTTGAGAAGAGTGTGTATTCCAGTGCTGTGGGAAGGGCTGTTCTGTATGTCTGCTTTGTTCATTTACTCAATAGTTCAAGTTCGATGTTTCCATATTGATTTTCTGTCTTGATGATCTGGCCATTGTTTAAAGTTGGGTATCAATATCTTCTATTATTACTATATTGCAGCCTATCTCTCCCTTCAGATGTACTAATATTTGGTTTACATATTTAAGTGCTCTGATATTGGGTGTATATATATTTACAATCAGTTTATCTTCTTGATTAATTGACCCCTTCATCATTATTTAATTACCTTCTTTTCACTTTGTATAGCTTTTGACTTAATGTCCATTTTGTCTTATATAGGTATAGCTAACTCTGTTCTCTTGATTTCCATTTGCATGAAATATCTTTTCTATCATTTTTTAAATGTATACGTGTCTTCACTGTGAAGTGCGTCTCTCATGAGTAGCATACAATTAAGTAGTGTTTTATTCATTTAAACACTATGGATTTTGTTTAGAGAATGAATTCATTGATAGGTATGGACTTACTTCTGTTATTTTGTTAACATTTTCTGGTTGTTATGTAGATCATTTGTTCCTTTCTTCCTCTCTTGCTGTCTTTCTTTGTAGTTGAGTGATTTTCTTTGGTAGTATGCTTTGATTCCTAATTTTATTCTTCTGTATATCTCCTTTTTTTTTTTTTTTTTTTTTTTGCTTTCTGGTTACCATGAGAATTCCATAAAACATTTTGGAGTTGTAATAGGCTATTTTAAGCTAATAGCAACTTAATTTCCATTTCCTAAATAAATTATATCATTGTATGTCCACCCCCTACACATGTTCTTTTAAATGTCATAACTTATATCGTTCTATATTGTGAGTATTCCTTAATGTTATTGTAGTTATTATTTTAAGCAGAGGAGGTTTTGTAAGAGGGTGGAATAGATGGCTCCACTGATAATCCATCCTGTAAGGAACCCAATTTAACAACTGTCTACACAATAAATAAGCACCTTCATAAGAATTAAAACTCAGGTGAGCACTTAAAATATCTGGTTTTCACTTCATATTGCTGAAAGAGGTGGTACTGAAGAGGTAGGCACAACAGTCTTGAATCACTGACGCCACACCACTCTTCCTTCAGCCTCAACAGAGGCTGTGGAGAGCATTACTGTGTGCTGGCAGAGAGAGAGTGCAGCAATTTTGAGGCACTGAATTCATTGCTGTCCTATTACAGCAAAGGAAAACCAGACCAAACCTAGCAGACATCAGCCCAAAGAGAGAGAGTTTAAATCGACCCTAACCAGAGGGAAATTGTCAATCCCAGTGGCCAGAACTTGAGTTCATGCAAGACTCACTACCAAGGTCTAAAATACCCTGAGGTTCTAAAAATATGAAACACAGTCTAGGACACAAGAACCACAATGTTTACAGGAGAACTAGTGCTGAATAGGGCCAAGAGACTTGAGGGAAACACAACCTATTGAGACACTAGCCACGGTGGCTAAAGGGGTGCTGACATTACCCCTACCCCTACCCAAGGCTACAAAGCTTGTGGTTCCAAAAGAAACCCCTTCACCTTATGCGTGAAGGGGAGGAGAGGGAAGAGTGGGGACATCGTGGTCTTGCATTTTGGATAGCAGCTCGGGTAATGGAGGATAGGGCAACAGTTAAAGTCAAAAGGCACACTTTCCAGGACCTAGGCCCTGGAGGACATTTTTTGACACACCCTGGGTCAGAAATTAACTTGCTTCTTTGATAGAAAAACAAAAACAGATGTGGCAGGATTTATCACCTGCTAACTGAAGAGCCCTCGGGCCCTGCATAACGAGCAGCAATACGTGCATAATATATAGAGGGCCTTGGGTGGGCCTCTTAGACTTGCTGACTTCAGTTTCCAGCTCGGCAACATAGGGATAGAACATTAAGCAGGCTCTTGGAGTCTCTGATTCCAGAATTTGGCACTTTGTTGGCATTTATGGACCTGCTTGGGGCCACAGTGGAGCCCACAGTCCTGAAGGGACCAACAAGATGTTAACTGTACAAACTTCAAAAACCCCAGTGATACTGGGCTTTGGGTTCCCCTAAGGTGAATACAGCTTACAGCACATCACCCATGTCCTTTCAAATATGTGGAAAGCCTTCCCAAGAAAGACAAGTAGAAAAAAGCCCAGAGAGTAACAACTACAATAAATACCTAACTCTTCAATGTCCAGACACAGATGAACATCTACAACTATCAAGACGTTTCAGGAGAACGTGAGCTTACCAAATTAACTAAAGAAGGCATCAGGGACAGTATCAGTCAGGGTTCTCTAGAGGGACAGAACTAATAAGATAGATGTATATATGAAGGGGAGTTTACTAAGGAGTATTGACTCACACGATCCCAAGTTGAAGTCCCACAACGGGTCTTCTACAAGCTGAGGAGCAAGGAAGCCAGTCTGAGTCCAGAAATCTCAAAAGTAGGGAAGCTGACAATACAGACTTCAATCTGTGTCTAAAAGCCCAAGAGCCTATGGCAAACCACTGGTGTAATTCCAAAAGTCCAAAAGCATTTGGAGTTCAATGTTCAAGGGCAGAAAGCATCCAGCATTGAAGAAAGATAAAGTCTGGAAGGCTCAGCAAGTCTGCTCGTTCCAACTTCTTCTGCCTGCTTTTATCCTAGCCATGTGGACAGCTGATAAGATGATGTCCACCCAGATTGAGGGTGGATCTGCCTCTCCCAGTCCACTGACTCAAATGTTAATTTCCTTTGGCAATACCCTAACAGACACACTCAGGAACAATACTTTGCATAATTCAATCCAATCAAGTTGACAATATTAACCATCACAGGGAGCAATCCTGAAGAAACAGAGATGTGACCATTTAGACAGATAACACAAAGTAAGAGTTTAGAGGTACCTCAAATCCTCAAAATCAAGGATAAAGAAAAGTTTCTAAAAGTAGTAAAATAAGATAAACAAATAACATACAATGGAACGCCAATATATCTGGCAACAGACATCCAGTGCAAATCTTACAGGGAGGACAGAGTGGTGATATGGTTTGGCTGTGTCCCTACACAAATCTCATTTAGAATCGTAGTTCCCATAATTCCCACATGTTGTGCGAGGGAGATAATTGAATAACGGGGGTGGTTTTCTCCATACTGTTCTCATTGTAGTTAATATGTCTCACAAGATCGATGGTTTTATAAGGGGGAACCCCTTTCTCTTGCTTCTCATTCTCTCTTCATTGCCACCATGTAAGACATGCCTTTCAGGCCGGGCGCAGTGGCTCACGCCTGTAATCCCAGCACTTTGGGAGGCCGAGGCAGGCGGATCACGAGGTCAGGAGATCGAGACCATCCTGGCTAACACAGTGAAACCTGTCTCTACTCAAAATACAAAAACTTAGCCGGGCGTGGTGGCGGGTGCCTGTAGTCCCAGCTACTCGGGAGGCTGAGGCAGGAGAATGGTGTGAACCCGGGAGGCAGAGCTTGCAGTGAGCCGAGATCGCGCCACTGCACTCCAGCCTGGGTGACAGAGCAAGACTCCATCTCAAAAAAAAAAAAAAAAAAAAAAAAAAAAAAAAAGACATGCTTTTCACCTTACACCATGATTGTGAGGCCTTCCCTAGCCACGTGGAACTGTGAGTCTACTAAACATCTTTTTCTTTATAAATTATCCAGTCTCAGGTATGCCTTTATCAGCAGCATGAAAATGGAATACTACAGGTGACATGACACATTTAAAGTGCTGAAGAAAAAACAAACAAACAAAAACAACTTTTATCTTACAATAGTAAGAAAAAGAAACGAAGACACTCCAAGACAAACCAAAGCTGAGGGATTTTATCAACACTAGACCTCTCCTACAAGATATGTTAAGGGAGTACTCTAATCAGAAAAACAGGGCCTTAACGAGTAATAAGTAATCATCTGAATGTGCAAAACTCACTGGTATACTAAGTACACAGAAAAATACAGAATATTATAACATTGTAATGCTGGCGCATAAACGACTCTTATCCTAAGTAGAAAAATTAAATGATTAACCAATCAAAAATAATAGCTACACTAACTTTTGAAGACATATACAATACAGTAAATACATTAATAGATATGACAAAAAATTAAAATCCAGGGACATGAGTTTAAGGCAAAGAATTTTTTTTGTCTTTTTATTTATTTATTTATTTTTTATTATACTTTAAGTTTTAGGGTACATGTGCACAACGTGCAGGTTAGTTACATATGTATACATGTTCCATGTTGGTGTGCTGCACCCATTAACTTGTCATTTAACATTAGGTATATCTCCTAATGCTATCCCTCCCCCCTCCCCCCACCCCACAACAGGCCCAGGTGTGTGATGTTCCCCTTCCTGTGTCCATGTGTTCTCATTGTTCAATTCCTACCTATGAGTGAGAACATGTGGTGTTTGATTTTTTGTCCTAAGTCAAAGAATTTTTATTATCATTTTGCTTGTTTGTTCATTTATGCAAACTGTTTTAAGTAGTTATCAGTTTAAAATAATTGGTTATAAGATACTATCTAGAAGTCTCATGGTAACGTGAAATCAAAAAATATATAATGGATACACAAAAATTAAAAAGCAAGGAACTAAATTATAACACCAGAGACAATCATTTTCATTAAAGGAAGTCAAGGAGGAAAGAAAGAAGGAAGAGAAGAACACAAAACAACCAGAAAACAAATAACAAAATGGCAGGAGTAAATTCTTGCTTATAAATAATAACATTCAATGTAAATGGACTAAATTTTCAAATCAAAAGAAATCAACTGGCTGTTGGCTAAATGTATGAAAAAATAAGACCCATTGTTCTGTTGCCTTCAAGAAACAAAATTCACTTTTAAAGACACACTTAGACTGAAAATAAAGGAATGGAAAAAGTACATTCCATGCCAATGGAAACAACAAAAGGGCAGGAGTAGGGATACTGATATCAGACAAAATGGATTTCAAGACAAAAACTATAAAAAGAGAACAGAAAGGTCACTGTATAGTGATAAAAGATCAATTCAACAAAAGAATATGATAATTGTAAATATATATGCACCCAGCACTGGAGCAACCAGGTATATAAAGCAAATATTATTAGAGCTAGAGAGAGAGTTAGGCCCTAATACAATAATAACTGGATATTCATTACCCCACTTTCAGCATTGGACAGATCATTCAGACAGAAAAGAAAAACTTAAGACTTAAGCTTCACTATAGGTAAAATAGATATAACAGATACTTATA
The DNA here is from genome assembly GCF_000001405.40 of Homo sapiens. NCBI lineage: Eukaryota > Metazoa > Chordata > Mammalia > Primates > Hominidae > Homo > Homo sapiens. The sequence continues at coordinate 144,522,444 of NC_000023.11, read as the reverse complement.
GAACATTTCATCCAATGGCTGAAGAATACACATTCTTCTCCCTAGCACATGGCTACTTCTCAAGAAGAGATTATATGTTAGGTTACACAGCAAGTCTTAAAACACTAAAAAAAAAAAAAAAAGAGCTTTTCTTTACTGGGAGGTAAAAAATGAAATAATAGGAAGCATTTTCTCTGACCACAATAAAATGAAACTACAAATGAACAACATGAGGATTTTGGAAACTATAAAAATACATGGAAATTAAACGATATGCTCCTGAATGACCAGTGGGTTAAAAAAGAAATTAAGGAGGAAATCAATAAATTTTTTGAAACAGGTGAAAGTGGAAACACAACATACCAAAACCTATGGGAATCAGCAAAAGCAGTACTAAGAGGAATGTTTATAGCTTATGAGGGTTTAAATAAAAAAAAAAAAAGAAAAACATCAAAATAAACAATCTACGCATCTTAAAGTAGCAGAAGAAAATAATTAATAAAACCAGAAGCAGAAATAAATGAAATTAAAATGAAGAAAACAGTACAAAATATCAATAAAACAAAAAGTTTTCTTTTTTGAAAAGTTATACAAAATTGCCAAATGTTTAGTCAGACTAAGAGAAAAAGAGATAATATCCAAGTGAATAAAATCAGAGATAGAAAAGGAGACATGACAAATGAAACTGCAGAAATTCAAACAATTATTAGCGGCTAGTATGCATAACTATATGCCCCAAAATAGAAAAATCCAGAAAGAATAGGCAAATACCTAGATACATATGAACTACCAAGATTAAACCAGGAGGAAATTCAAAACTGGAACAGACCAATAATAAGTAATGACATCAAAGATGTAAAAAAACCTCCCAGTAAAGAAAAGCTCAAGACCTACTGACTTTACTGCTGAATTTTACCAAATATTTAAAGAAAAACTAAAACTAACCCTATTCAAACTATTCTAAAAAATAGAGGAGGAGAGAAGAATTCAAAACTCATTCTATGAGGCAAGTATGACTGTGATACAAAGAACAGACAAAGACACATCAAATAAAAAAAGAAAACTACAGGCTAGTATCTCTAGTGAATATTGATGCAAAAATCCTCAACAAAATACTAGCAAACTGAGTTAAACAACACATTAAAAAGAGCATTCATCATGTTCAAGTGGAATTTATCCCTGAGATGCAAGGATGGCTCAACATAGGCAATTCATTCAATGTTATAGATCACAACAACAAAATGAAGAACAAAAATCATATGATCATTTGAACTCATGCTGTAAAAGCATTTGATAAAATTCAACATTCCTTCATGAGAAAACCCTCATAAAACTGAGTATAGAAGGAACATACCTCAACATAATAAAAGCATTATATGACAGACCCACTTCATACTCAATGGAGAAAACTAAAAGCCTTTCCTCTAAGGCCTGTAACACAAGAAGAATTCCCACTCTCACCACTGTCTTTCAAAATAGTACTGAAAGTCCTAAACTAGAGTAATTGGACAGGAGAACAAAATAAAGTGCATTTAAATTGATATGAAATAATTCAAATTATCCATTTTTTGCAAATGATATAATCTTATATTTGGAAAAGCTTAAAGACTCTACAAAAAACTACTAGAAATGTAAACAAGTTCAGTAAAGTTGCAGGATACAAAATCAGCATACACAACTCAGTCTCAGTAGAATTTCTATATATCAACAGTGAACAGTGTGAAAAAGAAATAAAACAGTAATCCCATTTACAATAGACACACTTACAATAAGTATTTGTTTAAGTCAATACCTAGTAGTTAACCAAATAGGTGAAAGATCTCCATATAGAGAAATATAAAACAATAATAAAAGAAAGTGACGAGTACACCAAGAAATGGAAAGATATTTTATGGTCACGGACTGGAAGAATCAATATTGTTAAAATGTACTTACTACCCAAAGCAATTCACAGATTCAATGTTATCCCTATCAAAATACCAAGATAATTCTTCACAGATATAGAAAAAAAATTCCCAAAATTTATATGAAACCACAAAAGACTCAGAATAGCCAAAACTATCCTAATCAAAAGGAACAACATTGAGGAAATCACATTACCTGACTTAAAGTTATACTACATAGCTACAGTTACCAGAACAGCCTGGTACTGGCAATACAACAGACACACAGACACATGAAACAGAATGGAGAACACAGAAACAAATTCACACCTTTACAGTAAACACATTTTTGATAAAGGTGCCAAGAACATACACTGGGGAAAAGACAATCTCTTCAATAAATTGCGCTTGGAAAACTGGATATCCATATGCAGAAGAATGAAACTGGACTCCTATCTCTTGCAAAATACAAAAATCACATCAAAATGGATTAAAGACTTAACTTTAAGGCCTCAAACTATGAAACTTCTGCAAGAAAAGATGCAATGTCCTCTCCAGGACGTTGGTCTGGGCAAAAGAGTAATACTCTACAAGCACAGGCAACCAAAGCAAACATGGACAAACAGGGTCACATCAAGTTAAAAATCTTCTGTACAGCAAAGGATACAATCAACAAAGTGAAGGGACAACCCACAGAATGGGAGAAAATTAGAAAACTACATGTATTAGTCCATTTTCATACTGCTATGAAGAAAATACCCAAGCCTGGGTAATTTATTAAAAAAAAAAAAAGGTTTAATGCACTCACAGTTCCACATCATTGGGGAGGCATCACAATCATGGCAGAAGGTGAAGGAAGAGCAAAGGCATGTCTTACATGGTGGCAGGCAAGAGAGAGTGTGCATGGAAACTACCCTTTATAAAACCATCAGATCTTTTGAGACTTATTCACTACCATGAGAACAGCATGGGAAAAAATCTGCCCCCATGATTCTATTACCTCCCACCAGGTCCCTCCCATGACACATGGGGATTATGGGAGCTAAAATTCAAGATGAGATTTGGGTGGTGACACAGCCAAACGATCTCACTACCTATCTGACAATGTATTAATAACCAGAATATATAAGGAAAAAAATCTATAGGAAATAATCTAATAATCTGATCAAAAACTGGACAAATAATGTGAACAGACATTTCTCCAAAGAAGACATACACATGGTAAACAGGCATATAAATAGGTGCTTAATATCATTGATCATCAGTGAAATGCAAATCAAAACTACAATGAGATATCATCTCACTCCAGTTAAAATGGTTTAATTTTAACAGGCAATAACAAATGCTATTGAGGATGTGGAGAAAAGAGAACCCTTGTAATCTGTTGATGGGAATGTAAGTTCGTACATCCACCGTGGAGAACAGTTTGGAGGTTCCTCAAAAAACTAAAAACAGAGCTACCCTATGACCCAGCAATCCCATTGCTGTGTATATCCCCAAAATAAATGAAAATATTACATTGAGTAGATATCTGCACCCCCGTATTTGTTACAGCACTCTTCATAATAGCCAAGATTTGGAAGCAACTTGAGTGTCCATCAACAGCTGAATGGGTAAAGAAAATATGGTATTTGTACACAATGGAGTGCTATTCCACCATAAAAAGAATGTGATTCTGTCATTTCTAACAACATAGATTGAACTGGAAATCATTATGTTAAGTGAAATAAGCCAGGAACAGGAAGGAAAACATTGCATGTTCTCACTTATTTGTAGGATCTAAAAATCAAAACAATTGAACTAATGGACATAGAGGGTTGAAGGATGGTTACCACACACTGGGCAGGGTAGTGAGTGGCTGAGCAGGGAGGTGGGGATGGTTAATGGTTCCAAAAATCACTGTTAGAATAAATAATATCTACTCTTTGATAGCACAACATGGTGATAATACTCAATAATATGTGTACATTTCGAAATAGCTAAAAGCATATTTTTATTTTTAACACCTGGAAACATTAAATGCTTAGGTGATGGATACCCCATTTTTCATGATGTGATCATATGCATTGCATGCCCTTATCAAAACATTTTATGTACCTCATAAGTGTATACACCTACTATATACCCACAAAAATTAAAAATAAAAAACATAAAAAATAAAAAAAGAATTTTTATATTATTTTGATAGCTTTGCCTTTTAACTTTCTTTAAAAAATATAAGTTATTTACACACCAATATTATAGTATTAGTGTATTCTGCATTTTACTATGTAGCAGTGAGTTTTATACTTTCATATGTCTTTGTATTACTAATTAGCATTTTTTTCTTCCAGCTTGTTGAACTCCCTCATCATTTCTTGTAAGGCAGGTCTAGTGGTGATAACCTCCTTCACCTTTTATTTGTCTGTGAATGTTTTTATCTCTTTAATTTCTGAAGGACCATTTGCCTGTAAATTACATTTTGTTGGCAGGTTTATTTTTGTATTTTTGTAGTTCTTTTTTTACTTCAGCACTTTGAAGATATCAGCCTACTTTCTGCTGTCCTGTAATCTTTTTTTTTTTTTTTCTGAGAAATTTACTGACAGCCTTATTGTAATTCCCTTATGTGTAATCTGTTTCTTTTCTCTTGATTCTGTAAGAATCCTCTTTATCTTTTATTTTGGGCAGCTTGATTATAATATATCTTGGTGCAGTCTTCTTTACATTTAATCTGATTGAAAGTCTTTACCTTCCTGTACAAGAATGTTTATATCTTTGTCCAGATTTAGGACATTTTTAGCTATTATGTTTTTAAATAAGCTTGTTTCCTCTTTTTCATCTACCTTTGAACCCCTATAATACAAATATTAGCTCTTAATGATATCCAATAAATTCCACAGTTTTTGTCCAGTCCTTTTCATTCTTTTCCATTTTTTCTCCTTTGACACTCTTATTTTAAATAACTTATCATTTAGTTCACAGATTATATTTTCTGCTTGATCATGTCTGTTGTTGATAGTTTCCATTGCATCTTTAATTCATGTAGCTTTCAGCTCCACATTTCTGGGGTGTGTGTGTGTGTATTTCAATCCTGCTAAATTTGACATTTTGTCTGTTTGTAGTTTTCCTAATTTAACTGAATTATCTATCTATATTTTCTTGAAGTTTTCTGAGCCTCCTTAAATCAATTATTCTGAATTTGGTCAAATACTCTCTATCTCCTTTCCTTTTGGGTCTGTTACTGGAAAATTATGTTGCTTTTCTAGTGTCAACATTTTTCTTGATGTTTTTGTGTTTTTTGTTGTCTTATGTTTGCATATTTGGTGGAGCAATCACCTCTTTCATACCTTACAGTCTGGTTTCAGGGGGAAATAACTTTACCTATTAGGAGGTGTGACAGTGCCGGCTGGGTGGTATGGAATAGTTCTGGCACTGGTAAGGGAACAGCTATGTAGTCTCCATGCAGATATGTCAAATGAGGTCAGTGTTGATGGTTACAGGGATCCTCAGCAACAAACACTGTGGATGTCTACAGTGGAAATGAGGGTTGTTAGAGTCTTTGTTAGTGATGACTGCTATGTACCTCCTGATCTTTTTCTTTTTCCACCTGGGAAGTTGTGGATGTGGGGATTCCTCTTTTAGTCTTGGCATTGATTCTGGCTTACTGTCCTGCTAACAGTGGTGATGGCACAGATGGCTGATAAGTGGCATCCATGAGGTGGGCATAGAGTAAAAGCCTGAAGCATAAGCCCATGTGGAGGCATTATGGCTCTCGGGTGCAGGGTTATAATGGCATAAGAGCCTAGGACACATGTACACCTTCTACTGCATTACTAATAGTGTGCCACACGTGAGTGCTTAGGAAGCAGCCTGGGACCAAAAGATGAAGCACAGGCATGCTCAGAGCTATGATGTCTCTGGGGTTGGGGCAGGGTGTAGCTGTCTACGGTGGCTGAGCTGGTGCCCAGAGTGCACACATGTGCAGAGAGTCCTTGTCTACTGGGCCCAGGGTGAGAACTAGCTTACTATGGCAATGGCTTTAATGTCTGAAGTGTCAGCAGGTGCGGTACAATCACAAATCCGTGGTCTAGAGTGTAGACAGTTGCAGGGAGGCTGTGGCTCGGGTATTAGAGGCATGCATGGGTTTAGGAGAGGTAGTAGTTTTGGTTCTGAAGCAGTACAACTGCAACTTCTTCTTGGGGTAGGGTGTGCAGTCACATCTCCCTCTCTAGCATTCCCCAGAGGGACTAGTTTTTGGTTACATCAGTGGCAAAAGATGCTGGTGTTCTCTGTGGAGCAGACTACTGGAGACCACAGTGGTTCTCCACCACGTGGCTTATACCAATAGCCTCTACCTTTCTTTATTGTTCCTAACCTTCTCCTGACATCTTAGGTATGCTGATCTCCCTAGTTATCTTTCTGTGTTTATGTTTCTTCAGTTTGTTTTTATTTGATATACTTTGCCTCTATAGATTCAGAAATGAATCCTTGAATCTTTCCAGCACTATTTGGTTTTAGGATAGCTGTCTGTATTTTTTGTTTGTTTGTTTTTGTGGAAAGATGAAGGCTGGTATCCCCTAGTCTGCCATCTTGGTTGCATTATTCCCCGGTATCTTAAGAGGTTTTTAAAATATATTTTAGATATAAGTTTATTATAAAACATATGTTTTGCAAATATTTCCTTCCAGTTTGTTGACTTGTCTTTTAATTTTCTTAATAGTATCTTCTACACGGAATGATTTTTTACATGTTAATAAAATTCAACTCACCTAACTTTTCTTTCATAAATCATGCTTTTGGTTTGTACCTAAAAATTTGTCACCCAACCCAGCATCACATAGAGTTTCTCCCATGATTTTGTCTAGAATCTTTATAGTTTGGAATGTCATATTTATATATGATTTATACTTTTAGTTCTTTTAATTTTCATATAAAGCATTTTTTTCTCAGATTAATATAATAAGCAAGTATAACTGCAGAATCATAGATTTCAGCAGATCTGATTATTTTATTACCTCAATTTTATTAAATAATAAATTTGGGTTATATTTGTTGTAGGTTTCCAGGTGTTTATTTGACATACATTGAACATATTTTATTATCTTACTTTTTATTGATACGTTAAATTATGGATATTGATGGGTAAATGTGACATGTTGTTATATTCATACAATGTGTGATTATCAACTCATGGTAATTAGGATATCCATCACCTCAAACGTGTATCATTTCTTTGTGTTGGAAACATTCCAAAATTTCTCTTCTAGGTATTTTGAAATATGTAATAAATTATTAGTAACCACTGTTACATTGTTGTGCTATTGAACACTAAAACTTATTCCTTCTATCTAACTGTATTTTTGTAGTTTTCTTAGTAGTAGTTAACTTTTATTGTTTTTAAATTTTTTTTTAATGGAATAGGAGTATACTTGACTATTTTTTTAATTCCAAAAACATTGAAGAGTAGGCAAAGATGGTTACACAAGAAGTTGAATTGTTGGCTGAATGGTGACACCACCATGCTCTGGTTTTAAATGTAAATTTGTTAACTGACATATGAAAGTCTGAACTAGGAGTGTAGAACATATTTTGATGATTTCAATGCATAATGTCAGGAACAGGGCTTTTTTGTTTTGAGCGTCATAGTTAGGGTGGTTGTTTTCCTCATCCTCATGGTGCAATATGTAAAATATCCTTCTCTTGGAGTTTTTGGATTCTAGAATCGTGTGTGGGCTAAACTAGAACTACCATGGGTTACCAGAGCAATCTGAAGAAGATATGTAAACTTGTGTAAGACCTAGTATGTATTACTCAATGAGAAACAATTTTAACAACATATTAGAATTAAGGTTTTACATAAAATATTGTATGTTCAAAAATGAATTACAGAATATTGCTGAGTCTTTAACAATGTTAACTTAAAAAATAGTATATAAATTTAGAAAAGAAGAGGAGAAATGAGACTTGATTTCTTATAAAGGTGCAAGGTAGACTTCCCACAGGCTGGGAAGCATGCCTCCAGCCAAGAACAGAGACAAGCACAATCAAGGAAGAGGAGTTGGGGTAGGTGCTTTATGCTAACAAGTTTGTTAAACATAAATATTCAACAGATTACAGGAGGAACTATGAGTATTCATGAAAGTTGTTCCTGACCAATGTATATTGAACAAACACGCATGTAACATACAATTCATGTTCATCTTAGAGTGAAGACTTAATATTTGAATGTATTATAATTGGGCCCCATGAGTCAAACTGTATTTGCAGGACACGAAAGCCCGCAAGTGCACAATCTCTGTAAACCAGCCAGAACCATTCAATGGTCGATGATATTCTTGTCAGGAGAAGGTTACTGAAATCATTCTCTTGTTCAATTAAAGCTGTAGTCATGACTGGTGGAACCGGGGGTCAACCTGTGATCTAAATAATTTCTAATTGTTTTAACATTGCTTATCTTAAGGACAGTGGTTGTTTAGCTGCTAAGGAAAAACAAAAGCCTTGTGGCCGTTACAACATAGTTTATTCTTTAAGTGTAGAAGTTCCTGACTTAACCTTTGCCTGGCCTGGCTTTAGGTCCTGTTTATAATTTGGTATTTTATTGCCAAAAAAAGAGTCTGTTCTATCAGTCTTAGGATCTCTGTTTTAACATTAGTGCCGGTCAGTTTCGTCTAAACTGCAAAATGGAAGGGATATAACGAGGCATGTCTGACCTCCCATACTGTCACGGCCAGAAACTCAGTTTTAAGGTTTCTCTGGTGCCCCCTTAGCCAAGAGGGGATCCATTCAGTCAGTTGGGCACTTAGGATCTTATTTTTGGTTTACAAAGCCATCTCTAGATATCCTGTAATCCATTTATTTTCTTATATTTTGTTGATAATTCAGGTAATATCATAAAGTACATATTTAATTTTGGTGCACTTGACAATTGTGGTATCATACATGGATTGATTAAGATTCATTATAGTTTTTCATTTATGAATATTTGGGTTTTTAAAGCACACATCCCTTTTATTAGCAAGGTATATGCATGTTTGGTCCAGGGTAGCTTAACAACATTGTAAAGTTAACTTCATGCCAAATTGAGATAACAGTTATAAGCATATACATTGTTCTAAATCTACACTAGGAGTTGCTGTTGCTTGGATTTAATATTTTAAAATATTAAATCTATGTAAAAGTTGCAAGAATAGTAGAATGAACATCTGTATAATCTTCACATAGATTAATTAATTAACATCTTATCACATTTAAGTGTTTTTTTTTTTCTCTCACTTCAACTCTATATACATCATCAGGTATCATGGCACTTTTGCATATTACTATAATACCATTATGATACCCAAGGAATTTGAAATTGGTAGAATTATTATTCAATATATGTTATATATTCAACTTTTCCCAATTGTACCAATAATATTGTTTACATCTCCTTGTTCGTTTTTCCAATTCTCAACCTAATCTGAGATCAAACATTGCATTTGATTGCCATATATTTTTGATCTCCTTTGGTCTAGAACATTCCCTTTGCACACAAACACCTTTTGTTTTATTTCAAACATTGTCATTGTTAGAGTCTCTGTTAGTCAATGGTAGAACATCCTAAAATAGAAACGTTTCTGGTGAATTTATCTTTATTAGATCCAGGTCAAATATTTTTGGCAAGAAAACCACATAAATGAAGCTGTGTCCTTCCCATTGCACTCCATCAAAAGCCACATGTCAGTTTGTCCCATTATTAGTAATGTTAAGTATGATCACTTGATTAAAATAGTGTCTGCCATGTTTCTCTATTGTAATATTACTTTATTCCTTTGTAATAAATACTATATGGGGTATTACTTTGAGGCTCTGTGAATATCTACTTCCCTATGTTGTTGTATTTTAAAAGTTCTCTTCTTTCCCCATTTGATAATTTAATAATCTTAGTGTTATTGCTGTTTTGATTTTTGCCCTTGGATAAATGACTTTCCCATTCTGTTTCTTTAAAATTTTGCTCACTAATGATCTTTTTGTTTCTAATCCTCTATGATTGTGGTGCAATGTTTTGCTGTCTGAACTGTAAATTCTTGTGTATTTAGGCTAATAACTTCCATCCAATCATTAGTTTAGGCTGCTGTTATTATTCCATTAAGCATTCTCTTGAAACTGAGGTTAAATGGGATTTTTTAAACTATTCAGACTAATTACCTTTTACCTTGGAAAACCTTTGTGATGCCATACATGAGTTCAAATTAGAATGAGAGTACATATAAGTTAAACTTCTCCCACCACAGTTATTATGTAATTTGGTTATTCATCAATTTTAAGTTGTCTTATTCTTCCTGTGTTTTAGTAATATTTTTCTTCTTAACATTTTATATGAAAGTCACTGCAAAATTGAGGAAACTGTGATATTAAAACTTGTAGCTTTTATATGAGGATCTTATTACCTAAATTATAGGAAACTTATGCTGATAAAAGGATTATCATTTTATAATGCAATGTATCAAATCTGGTAATAAGACAGCTGTCAAACTTAATTGAAATTCTATACAGAATTTCAGCTCTAAATTTCCTTTTTCATCTAAGCACATTTTAGCATTTGGAGTTATTTTATGATTTCACTTTATTTTGTGTTTCATTAGAGTCTGCTGTCATTTATTTATTAAGAAATTTTAGTAAATGCATCCCTGTGGTATAGTGCTTCCTCAGATTATATTAAGGACATATTTAGATGAAGAAAAACTGAGAAAATAAAACAGTTAAATTGTGGAAATCTCTTTTGCTTCAAGTACTAATTCTTATCACTTGATAGAAATCCTTGCATTTTCCTGCAGGTTCCATTTGTTTTCACCAGCCTAAGGTATCAGTGATCAACATTGATAATGACTGCAGAAGTCAAAGGACCAACAATGTAGTCCTCTTTTGTTGATTTTAAGTTCTGATGCTTTGGGCAAGTCGTTTTCTTTCTCTAAACTGTAGTTTCCTTTTTTTGTCTTGTAAATTTTTTCAAATTTAATTTTGTTTTAGATTCAGTTGGTACATTTGTACATTTGTTACATGGTTATATGACATACTGGTGGGGATTGAGCTTCTAGTGTATTCACTACAAAAATAGTGAACATTGTACCCATTAAGTAATTTTTCAACACTCACCCCACCTCCCACCCTCTCCCCTTTTGGGGTCTCGTCTAATATTTTCATCTTTATGTCCATGTGTGGCCATTGCTTAGCTCCCACTTGTGGTATTTGACTTTCTGTTTCTGAATTAGTTCACTTGGGATAATGGCCTCAAAATCCATCCATGTTGCTACAAGGAGCTTTCTAATAGGAAAAATGAAAAGAATGAACTAAGTGGTTTCTAATGATCTATTCAGCTCTTAAATTCTATCTGAATTTAATTCAATCATAGGGAATATTGTATTATTTTTTACAAAACTGATTTATATATTTTACAGTAATAAAACTCAATTACTTATGGCATTGCTAAACATGGTTTAAATAAATATTAGTTAGGTACACTGTCACAAATTTGCCCACTATTTTCCCACTACTCTTGGTTGGAAGCCAGTAGTAGTAGACCCACTACCTTAATCATGGACACATGAGCACCTTGAATATCATCGACACTGTTTAGCCTTCAGGGATACATTTCTTCAAAGGTCTTTCCCTTCAAAGAAAGGTAACTATGTATCAATGCCAGCAAATTTCATAGAGTTTGCCTCTGACAATATTGGAGACAGACTTTCCTTCAGAGTTCAGGGAGGATTTGTGAAAGTGCTTAGGTGAAAAAAAAAAAAAAAAAAAAAGGAAATTAATTAACTTCTCATGTCCCTCCTCTCAAATAGCATGATTGTAGTAATCCTTTCATTAGGAAATATCATTTTTCAGTAGTGAGAAGCATTCATTCTCTTGCTTCTCCTTGTATTTACAAGCCGGTACTCACAAAGTAGTATGGCATTTGCAACATTTACACATGGTAGGTGAGGGACTTTTTTTCAATAAAATATTACTTTTCAAATAATAAAAATTGGATAGTGATGCATGTTTAGATGTAAAGTATGTAAAACATGATACTGTTTCATGTACATTGGAAAAAAGACAGATATGGACTGATTAATATAATTAAAATATTTGTATAAGAATATTTTATAAAACAAATTTTCAAAAAATATGAATAATCTGTATTGAAATAATTTAAGATATTGTTGAGGAGAAGTCTATGTAAATGGTTCTAATAAATATGGCAAAGATAACGGTGTGCAAACCTGAATTTTAGTCAAAAATCTAGAAGCCATATTTGCACCATATTTTGATTTTGTTCTTCAAAGCGATGGCCTTAACAGCGTTGATAGTGATGACATTCTTTGGAACAATTAAAAAGTTGCGTATCATATTTATGGATCTGTCCCCAAATGGAATATCTTTAAAAAAATACATATCAGATTTTTTCTTAAAATTGTTCAAATGTACAATGCAAATGCTGACTAAATACCATTAGAGCAATTAAACTTAATTTAGATATGGTGTGAGATACATTAGAATATATATCCTCTAAATAAGAACAAATTGTATCTTTGGTAGAAAACACAATTATTTTGAACGGTAACATTCAGTTATTTTGTATGTAAGATTCCCTACTATCAATAATGTTCCAAAAAAATTGCATACATATTGTTATAGAATTTAAAATAATATAAAATTTTGGAAGAAAGGTATTAATTGAAAAAAACTGCTTGTGAAATATACAACAAAATTTGCCTTTTGATACAACTAGAAAGAGAAATAAAAAACATTTTCAATTCTATGAAGAAGCTTCAAATAAAAATAATCTCCAAACTAATTTCTAAATATTAAAATATTATTTTCTAAATATTATATACATGTTTAAATATAGAAATATTTTCTGCTTATTATAGATCAAAAATAAATTGACCTGATGAGAGAACTGAACTAATTTCAAATATGCTGCTCTTCTGTTTCTCAAAAAATGTACCACCGTTGTAGAATGTTAAATCACTTTAGAAATAGTAATTGGATCTAGACATTGCTTTAAAAGTTGATGAAATTTATATTATGAGTGATAGTGATACATGATTAAATTTAAATATTTATGCTTTTCTGTGATAACAATGATTTATCATATGCTACACCATTAAAATATACAGGCATCATAGGTAACAATTATAGTTTTATCTTCGAACCTAGGTATTACTTACATAACGCTATTGAGAATTCCAATACTGCCTTATCCAGACTCACATTGATAAAAAACATGAAAACCGAAATTACTAAAGATGGTTGTCCAATCTGATAACCCTATCAAAAGAACCTCAATTATGTGATAAATATATTACAGCATGATTTGTGATTTTCCTGAAATAAAGGCAAGGAAATTAATATAAATAAATAATAAATGATAATTTATGAATGATGAGTTTTAATTCTTAGTCATTACAGAGTTGTCAGCAAATCAGCAGAAAATGTAGGTTTTCTTTCTAAGTTTTTGCAAATAAAATCTAGGGTGGTAGAATCTGTTTCTTACTTTTACATTTATTTTGTTTGGTTTTTACAATATCGTTTTCTTATTTCTAGTTAAATACAAAAATAACTTTTTAGTGACATTGAAGCAAATTATTTAAAGTCTATATTTATATATCGGCTTGTTAGTTCCAATTTTTCCAAAATTGCCTAGAATTTTAATTGCTGTGCAGTTTTATTGTCTTGAAAGTTGGTTTCAGTGAAAGAAAATGCTTCTTGAATACACAGAGATAGTGACAAAGAACTGCACTACACTTAAATCCTGAAAATGCCAAGCACCTGTTTGACTTAATGCCTTCACAATACACTTATTTATTTAGAATATCCTTGTTTGGTAAATTCTACTTTTCTTCTTAAGAAGCTAAATTCTCTCCCCTAATTGTTAGACCTTCACAACTAGAATCAATTGTCCCTCTTTTGGTGTTCCTAAAGCACTTTCTCCATACGTTTACTATAGCTCTCATCTTTTTTTTTCCCCTGCCTTTATTGAGGGATAACAAACAAATAAACATTATATATATTTAAAGTGTACAATGTGATGTTTTGATATTTAAACACATTGTGAAATCATTACCACAATTAAGCTAATTAGCATACCCATTTTCTCACATAGTTTACCGTGTGTGTGTCTGTGTGTGTGTGTGTGTGTGTGTGTGTGTGTTGTGTATCTGTGTGTGGTGAGAACATTTAAGGTCTACTCTCATAGCAAATTTTAAGTATACAATACAGTATATTAGCTATAGTCACCATAGTATACACAGTGGATCTCCAGAACTTATTCATTCTGCATAACTGAAACTTTGTAACCTTTGATCAGCATCTTTCCATTTCCCACTCTCAACTTATGGTAACCACACTTTTACTCTTTGTTTCTATGAATTTGATTTTTTTAAATTCCACATAGAAAAGTGAGAGCATACAATATTTGTCCTTCTGCTTCTGACTTCTTTCACAAAGTATAATGTCCTCCAGGTTCATGTGTATGATCCAGCCATCCCAATTCTGGGTATATATTCCAAAGAAAATAATCGTGACCAGAAAAATATCTGAACTCCCATGTTCATTTCAACATCATTAATAACCAAGATACAGGAACAACCTAAGTGTCCATAGACAGATAAAGGGATAAAAAATGAATAATAAGGAAAATTATATATATATGTATATATGTATCTACATACACACACATATATTATTCAGCTTTTAAAAAAAGAAAATCCTGCTATTTGCATCATTTGTAATTGTGTATCCTTTGAAAATTTCTCTGTTTTTTCTAGAGCACATTTTTCCAATAACTTAATTTAGGAAGAACTTCAAATACTTTATTAAGAAAGAACATGTTGGCATAATTCTTGAATGATAGCATGTTTAAAAATGTCTTCACATATAAACAATATTTTTTTTCTGAGTAAAACTACCACGGATCTTGATTCAATCTCTTTCAGGGTTTAGTGTTGCAGAGGACACTGGGGTCAACCTAAGTCTACGTCTTTCATGGAATAGCTTTTTTTCCTCTACTTGTTATTACTGTATTATTTATCTTTTTAATGGGTATATACAGAGCTTTTTCCTTATAACAGAAATCTAAAAATTTCACCAAGAAAAAAATAATACACTAACATGAGTGCAGGTGTAGAATTAATTTTGTCCATTTTCCTTAATACATTTTGAGCACTTCCAATTTTCAGGAAAAAAATGTCTTTGTCCAGAGACTAAAAGTTTACTATTACATCTTTGAATACTGACTTTTTTCTCTTTCTATTATTTTCTCTTTCAACATCACCAAAGATTTGTAAGCTACTTCTCTGGAATATGCCTTGCGTATTGAGCATGTATTTATTATAAAATGTTTAATCTTTTAATCTCTGTCCTTTATGGCCTAAAGTAACTTGCTAAGTTTGTCTTACTTTTCTTTATTCAATCATCTTTAGTAATAGAAGCTAACATTTATTACATATTGACTATGCATTATGTGTTCTATATGCATTATCTAATTTAATTCTTCCAACCACCCTGTGAGGTTCAATTTTCATCTATTCTGAAAAACGAAATAACTAATGCTTATATAATTTAAGTAATTTACACAAGGTCATACAGATGGTAAATTTTAACTCCAGAATACATGTTCCTAAGCATTTCTTCATAGGAGTTTTTCAGAGTGAGTCAGAAATTAATTGTTGCTATTGTAGTTTACTGTTTGGCAACTGTGATTTCCATATTTTTATTGTTTCAGATTTTTCCTCTTTCTTCTTTGCTAAGTTTTGATCTCATTTACTAGAGGTATTCTCCTCCTGAGTTGTGTGAAGAATATGAATTTGATTATTTTTGGAAACATAGCTTTGTTACATCCTTGGTTTTTAAAAGTCATTACTCAGTTTCACACAGTTGAAAATTAGCCATTATGTTACAAAATAACTGCTATAGGATGCTTCATATGGAAAATTTATTTTAGAACATAAGTAGTTATGTCACTGATAATAAGATTTAATTTATTTCATCTCTTTATTTAAAAAGAAAACATATTATGTACCTTTCATCTATGTTCTAGCTAGTGAGGAGAATATAAATTTGAGGATTATTATGACAAGATAATAAGTTGTGGCTTTTTCAGTTGTCTAGCGATTTTGGCTAAAATCTCAGAGCTGAGGAGAGTAATGCACAACACATCTATGCAGGACATACTAAAAGCTAGCAAAATTGGTCCAGTTATGTATGCTACGTCCAGCCTTCAGAAGGTAATACTATACATTTTAAGGGATATTTTATTGAAGGGGACACATAGGAATAAAAACTGCAATGCCTTTTGAAATCTTTCCCAGTAAACCAGAGTTGTGAGAAGATTCCTTAATGTCAACTTGTACAAATTCAGTGTCCCTGTAAGAGAAGATAGGTATTGCATTATCCAGAAGGAAGCTTCCCAAGCTACAGACATTCATAGGCTCAAGTGACGAGCCTACCCAGATGGAGCATAGAGAAAGAGTCTTTGGAAGAACTGGACAGTGTCTTTAGAAGTCTAGGAATATAAATGAACATAAAAACTGAGTGGACGGAGTAGCTCCAAATGGCAGTGTAAGGACAGAGAGATTGGCAGTTGGGCAAACTGCATTTTTATCTTTAGGTGTGTCTAAAATGAGAGATTGTTCCTTTTGGCTAAGTGGGCACCTCAGAAGGTCGTCTGTTTGAGTCATCTTGAAACTTTGATGGGACTATGCCCAAGAAAGCAACCTGCTAGGGTGAAAGGACTGGAACAAGAATAAACTATGGGTATGCTTCCCAGGGCAGAAGATTAAAGGGTGTGGCAAGAAGTCTTCCAGAGACTGTGTTGCCTGCATAAAAAAAAAAAAAAAAATCATTGTGGAAATAAAAACAAAACAAAATAAAACAATGCTCTAAGGAATAACTGGGGCCGGCACGGTGGCTCACGCCTGTAATCCCAGCACTTTGGGAGGCCGAGGCGGGCGGATCACAAGATCAGGAGATCAAGACCATCCTGGCTAACACAGTGAAACCCCGTCTCTACTAAAAATACAAAAAACTAGCCTGGCGTGGCAGTGTGTGCCTGTAGTCCCAGCTGCCGGGGAGGCTGAGGCAGGAGAATGGCGTGAACCTGGGAGGCGGAGCTTGCAGTGAGCCGAGATTGCGCCACTGCACTCCAGCCTGGGTGACAGAGCAAGACTCCATATCAAAAAAAAAAAAAAAAAAAAAAGGAATAACTAATGAGGCCCTCAAAAATCACCCAGCATGTAGGCACATATTATAAAATGAAGCCCTAAAGGCTGAATTTATAAATACAGCAGCCAATACAAGACTTGTCCCACTCCTGTAATTACCCTACTACTTCTTAATGCTGGGGGAGTCTATTAGTTCTTTCTTGCTGTGTAACAAATTATTCCCCCCAAAATTGTCTTAGATACAATAAACATTTATTATTCCACAGACTTTGTGGGTAAAATTTCAGAAGTGGCTTAGCTAGGTAGCTCTGACTTGAGATCTTTCATGAGTTTGCAATCAATATGTTGGTTGCAGATGCAGTCATCTGAAGGCTCGACAGAGGCAAGATAATTCACTTCCAAGATGGTTCTCTCACATAGCTGTTGGTAGGAAGCCTCAATTGCTTGTTAGCTGTTGGAAAAAGGCTTCAGTTTATTTTCTTTTTTATTTTATTATACTTTAAGTTTTAGGGTGCATGTGCATAACGTGCAGGTTTGTTACATATGTATACATGTGCCATGTTGGTGTGCTGCACCCAGTAACTCCTCACTTAGCATTAGGTATACCACCTAATGCTATCCCTCTCCCCTCCCCCGACCCCACAACAGGCCCCGGCGTGTGATGTTCCCTTTCCTGTGTCCATGTGTTCTCATCGTTCAATTCCCACCTAGGAGTGAGAACATGCGGTGTTTGGTTTTTTGTCCTTGCTATAGTTTGCTGAGAATGATGGTTTCCAGCTTCATCCATGTCCCTACAAAGGACATGAACTCACCATTTTTTATGGCTGCATAGTATTCCATGGTGTATATGTGCCACATTTTCTTAATCCAGTCTATCATTGTGGGACATTTGGGTTGGTTCCAAGTCTTTGCTATTGTGAATAGTGCCGCAATAAACATATGTGTGCATGTGTCTTTATAGCAGCATGATTTATAATCCTTTGGGTATATACCCAGTAATGGGATGGCTGGGTCAAATGGTATTTCTAGTTCTAGATCCCTGAGGAATCACCACACTGACTTCCACAATGGTTGAACTAGTTTACAGTCCCACCAACAGTGTAAAAGTGTTCCTATTTCTCCACATCCTCTCCAGCACCTGTTGTTTCCTGACTTTTTAATGATCGCCATTCTAACTGGTGTGAGTTGGTATCTCATTGCGGTTTTGATTTGCATTTCTCTGATGGCCAGTGATGATGAGCATTTTTTCATGTGTCTTTTGGCTGCATAAATGTCTTCTTTTGAGAAGCGTCTGTTCATATCCTTTGCCCACTTTTTGATGGGGTTGTTTGTTTTTTTCTTGTAAATTTGTTTGAGTTCATTGTAGATTCTGGATGTTAACCCTTTGTCAGATGAGTAGATTGCAAAAATTTATGGACCGCTTCATAAGGCTCCTCAAATGCCTTCACAATGTGGTAGCTGGCATCCCCAAAAGCAAGTGATTTAATAGAGAAAACAAAGAAGATGTCCCAGCATCTTTTATGACTAACTGTCAGAAATAACACTCCGTTGGCCGGGCGCGGTGGCTCACCCAAATCCCAGCACTTTGGGAGGCCGAGGCAGGCGGATCACGAGGTCAGGAGATCGAGACCATCCTGGCTAACATGGTGAAACCCTGTCTCTACTAAACATATGAAAAATTAGCTGGGCGTGGTGGTGGGCGCCTGTAGTCCCAGCTACTCAGGAGGCTGAGGCAGGAGAATGGTGTGAACCCGGAAGGCAGAGCTTGCAGTGAGCCAAGATCACGCCACTGCACTCCAGCCTGGGCGACAGAGAGAGACTCTGTCTCAAAATAAATAAATAAATAAATAAATAAATAAATAAATAAATAAATAAGTAAATAAATAATAACACTCTGTTACTTCTTCAATTTCCTATTGGTCATATAGGTCAGCCCTCTACAGTGTGAGAAGGGATAAACAAAGTTGTGAATACCAGAATATGAGAATTATTTGAGGTAATTTTAAAGGCTGGCTCCATCTGTCTGGCTAGAAGAAGTATAGTTCAGAGAAGAGTGAAGGAAGAGACCAGGCACCACCTATTCACCCTGTTCTCAAAGGCAGATCCCAAAGCCCAAGTTAGGAGATGGAGAAAAGCTTTGAATAAGTTCTGAAACTTAAAGCGAGTCATAGTTACCTAAGTGTAGAGTAATTGTAAGTCCCAGTTTGCTTTAGACGGCTCCTTGTTTATTCCTGTACTCTTGGAATCCAGTCCAATCTTGCATTTTTCTATATATTTCATTTTTAATAGAGTATTAATATTAATTGCTACATTAAAGTATGCCAGGGTTGCTTTGGCTGATCTGAAATTTATACTTCTATTTTCTGACTCGGTCTTATTTGGTAATATGTGATATGCTTGTGCAGTGAACAGTGATAACTCATTTCTTTTCCTCTGACCTTCATTTTCAAAGAGCATGCAAGATGTCTGCAGATAAAATGAAGTGTCTGTTGGAAGGTGCTATGGACAACTACTTATTCTAGTCTCAGAGTTTGATGGGAGAAGTAATTGACTCTGCTGCCTCTCTGTAAGTCGGTTGTGCTATGATCTTTACCAGGAACTGCAAACTTCATAGACCTCTAGGTTACCACTTGTCAGGGGCACTGGGAAACCTAGAAAATTATAGGTTGTGTCCAAGAAATATATGTAGGAAATTTGGGCAGAGCAGCCATGCTGTAATCAGTAAAAGAGTAATTCAAATGTCTTTTCAAATTCAAATGTAGTCGTCTCTCATTTTTACAAGTTGTATATGGACAATTTTTTTATTCTTTATTATTTAAGGAATTTTGTAATTTTTTTGTAGTTATGAGCACAAAAACTGAAAATTCATGTTTAATGAAAAAAATTAAGTGCTCAATTTTTGTCTCTCAAGGAAGTTAACAATGAAAAACATTTTATATGTTTACCCCCATCCTCTGTCCTTACTGGGGTCATAGTGCTATCCCTGTTCATACGGAAACCAGAAAATCACAAATCTGCTGAAAAAGCATTGGCAACTACTTTAAATGTTACTCGTTATGTACGAAGACTGTGACTGAAGGCTTACCATTAACACATGCAGCTGCAAAATTTGAGTTTACATGTTACTCTATGAAGTACAACTTGTCCTTTAGATCAAATCGTTGTTCTAAATAAATGTCACCCATTTTAAAATTCAATATGCTACCACATGCAGGAAAAGTTACATAATATCTTGTAATGTGTAGCTTATACTTGCAGAAGATAATATTCGAAGATGGCCAAAAAAGGTGATTTTATGTCAGTATTATCAGATACTTCAGATAAAAATGAAATTTTCTCAATACTATTTCAATAATAATTGAATTTAGTTCTATTTATTTTATTTTAAGAAGTCAAATTTATGAAATCAAAGCTTTTGAAAAATCATTGTGTCAAAAATGAAATATCCGAAGTGATTTTAAATGTCATTTAAAATTTTCTTTAACAGTTCAAAACTGTAGTCATAATTCAGATACTGGGAGGTCCCAGTTTGGTAAAACAACATTTCCACTAAAATAAGAAAGATATAGGGCAGAAATGTACCTTAAATTGGTAGTAGTACATACATAATTTACAATTACATCTACAAAAGTAACAATGTTCTGTGAATCCAAACAGAAGTCATGGTTTTCAAAATTTTTAAAAATATTATATACACAAAATATTTCAGTGATAATATTTTGTGAAGAAACTAGTACTGTATAATAACAAAAAAAGTCAGCCAAATAGTTTAGACATGTTTGCTGCCCATGACCAATTTAATTTTAGAAATTTTGCACCTTTAAAGAACTACTGATAAATCAACCTAAGTGTCCTATGTTACTTAATTTTTTCAGCATGTAAGTTTTCTAAGTTTTTGTTGCATTTGGTTCAAAATGAATAGACATATTTATATCCTATACCAGAATGCAATCAGTTTGGAGGATGTGGTGGCTCTGCAATTTGCCAACATGGCTAGACTAAAGCATTTTCCCCAGAATTCTTCTTTCCCGTATGTATGTTTCTGATAGGTTGGGCCATAAGAGACATTTTTGCATAAGATTTGGTGGATGAAAGAGAAGCAGCACTGATCAAGGTGGTTTTTTTCCCCACTTACAAGAGGTCTGGGGAGGTGCTTCTGTAGTTCATACATCTTGTGTCTTATGTGCTGACTCCTCTCCTTTGTATGAGTTGTAAGCTCCATGACAAAGGGCACCAAGTTTTCCTGCAAAACTCCCACTTAACCAGGGTTGAAGACAATACGAACTGACACAACTCCAGTTAATCTTTGTTGATTCCTGACCATCCTCATGGGCTGCAGCTCATGTTCCTGGGGTTCCAGCTTGTCTTTGCTCTCCCCATTTTACATTCATCTTCTTTCTTCAATGCCTTCCCTATAAATGTCACGTTCCAAAATCATTCATGAAAATAATGGCATTAAAAAGATGCCCTATGCAGCTCCTACAATTGCCTAAGGTTAAATCCCTGAAACAAGTCATATTCGTGTATAAGTGTATGTATTTTTATATATATGTGTGTGTGTGTGTGTGTGTGTGTGTATGTATATTGTTATTGTAACTGAAAGTCATGAAATGATGCCCTTGTCAAAAGTTGGAAATAATGTGCAGTACCTGATGTGGAGGAAGAGTCTTCTATATTGGAAGAACTGAAAGAAGATCAATCTGGTTGACTCATGGTGCTCCATGGGAGAGAAATAGGAAACAGTTTGGAGTAATAGGCAGGATCTGGATTTTGGAGTTCAGATTTTATTCTGAGTTCAGTTATAAGCCATTGAAGTGTTTGAGTGGGAGAGTAACATGATTTGATGTACATTCAAGAAGATTCCTCTGAGAAGTGGTTGAAAGGGTAAAAAATAGAAATGAAGAGACAAATTAGAAGGCTGTTAGTGTAAACCAGGCAAGAGATGATAGAAGCTTGGATTAAGGTAAATGGCCAATAAGATGGAGCAAAATAGACGGATTTCAGATGGATTTTGGCGATATAATAGACAAGATTTGCTAATAATAGATTGAATGTGGGGTAGGTGGGTAAGAGAAAGAGAGGAACCAAGACAATCATTGGGTTTCACGCTTTTGAAAAAATTGAATAAATATAGATGACTGGAGTTATTACTGAGATGGAGAAGGGGCATCTATGTGCCTGTCTGTTTGCATGTGTGTTTTGTATGTTTATAAAAAAAAAGATTGTAGGATATATAAACAGTTCATGTACACATGTTAAGTCAATTTCTCTGTCTTTGCCTCTGTCTCTCTGTTTCTCTTATTCCCTGTCTCTTTACTTTGTCTACAGAAAAGCTAAGCAAAAAAATATGTGAGGTTTCTTAAAATAGAGATCACAGACTGTGTGAATGTACTTTTCAGCAATAAGATATCAAATTATAAACAAGATCTAAGTTCATGTCAGGCAAGGGTTAAGCCATATACCTACAACACTTAAAGAATAAACTATGTTCTAACTCCCACAAGTTTTTTTTTTTTTCCTTAGCAACCAAACAAGCACTGGCCTGCAGATCAGCAAAAATAAAACAATTTCAGCTCATCCACCAACAGACACTGACTAACTGACCCTCTATTCCACAAGCCAAAACTACGGCTTTACTGGACAGCAGACTGATTTCAGTAACTTTCTCTTGGTAAGAAACCACCGACCATGAGCTGGTTTCTGGCTGTTTTACAGAAGTTACACGCTTGAGGGCTTTCGTGGCCCTGCTTCCCTTTTTGATATATGGGACCTAATTTTAATGTATTTAAATGTTAAGAATGCACCTTAAGGTGAACGTGGGACATACATAACATGTATGTTTGCTAATCAATCACCCATGCATACCACCCCTCTTTGTGAATATACATAGCTCTGCTTAAAACCTGTTAAATATGTATACTTGGCCAACCTGTTCAGCATAAATTCTTGCCTCACCCATTTCTATCTTTTGGGGTCTGCTCGTGGTCTGATATGGTTTGGCTGTGTCCCCATACAAATCTCATCTTGAATTGTAGTCCCCATAATCCCCATGTGTCTAGGGAGAGACCTGTTGAGAGGTGAATGGATCCTGGGGGTGGTTTCCCCCATGTTGTTCTTATGATAGTGAGTTCTCATGGGATCTGATGGTTTTATAAAGGGCTTCCCCCTTCACTGGGCTCATTCTCTCTCCTGCCGCCCTGTAAAGAGGTGCCTTCCACCATGATTATGAGTTTCCTGAGGCCTCCCCAGTCATGCAGAACTGTGAGTCAATTAAACCTGTTTTCTTTATAAATTACCAAGTCTCAGGTAGTTCGTTATAACAGCATGAGAACAGACTAATACATGGTCTCTGCCACAGTCTGTGCTTCCCAGCCTGCTGGAATGGCCACCTTGCAGGCTGCAACACTTTATAAGAATAAAGTCTCATTTCCAAATTTGTAGATGTCATGATTCTTAAGTTGACAGGCTTATCAATATCAGATCTGTCAGCCCTTAAGTTCTACATACCACTATTCGTCTCCTCTCCCACTGATTTTGGATTTCTACAAATATATAGGTTTATTTGTTAGTGATACTTGATTCTTATTTATATTTTGTCTTCATTTTACTGTATGTATTTTGTATTAGTCAGGGTTCTCTAAAGGGACAGAATAGGATAGATGAATATATGAAGGGGAATTTATTAGGAGAATGGGCTCACATGAACGCAAGGTGAAGTCCCACAACAGGCTGTCTGCCAGCTGGAGAGCCAGGAAGCCAGTCTGAGTCCCAAAACTTCAAAAGTAAGGAAGCCGATAGTGCAGTCTTCAGTCTGTGGCCAAAGGCCCTAGAGCCCTTGGCAATCCACTGTTGTAAGTCCAAGAGTCCAAAGCTGAAGAACTTTGAGTCTGAAGTTCGAGAGCAGGAAGCATCCAGCATGGCAGAAAGATGGCAGCCAGAAGACTCAGCAAGTCTGCTCTTTTCATGTCTGCTTTTATGCTGGCAGCTGATTAGATGGTGTCCACCCAGATTGAGCGTGGGTCTCCCTCTCCCAGTCTACTGACTCAAATGTTAATCTCCTTTGGCAACAACCTCACAGACTCACCCAGGAACAATACTTTGCATCTTTCAATGCAACCAAGTTGATACTCAATATTAACCATCACAGGTGCCTTCTGCCACCATTATAAGTTTCCTGTGGCCTCCTCAGACATACAGAACTGTGAGTCAATTAAATCTATTTCCTTTATAAAATACTCAGTATCAGACAGTTTTTTATAGCAGTGTGAAAACAAACTAATACATGGTCTCTGTCACAGTCTATGCTTCCCAGCCTGTTAGCATGGCCACCTTGTAGGCTGCAACACTTTATAAGAATAAAATCTCCTTTCCAAATGTGTAGACTTTATAATTCTTAAGTTGACAGGCCAGGCTCAATAACATCAGATCTTTCAGCCCTTAAGATCTACATACCTCTATTCCCTTCCTCTCCCAGTGATTTTGGATTTCTATCAACATATACATTTGTTTGTGAAACTTGATTCTTATTTATACTTTGTTTTTATTTTACTGTGTGTATTTTACAAGCTAATTTGAATTCCTTATGGCATGTTATATGTCCATGGTCCTCAACTGGGGATAATTTTGCACCCTAAAAGACATTGGCACTATATGGAAACATTTTTGGTTGCCACAGCTCGTGGGAGGGGTACAACTGGCATCTAGTGGATTGAGGTCACGTGTGCTGCTACACATCCTACAATGCACAGGACAGAAACTCACAAGGGATATTTTCTTTGCAGAAAATGTCAGTATTACTGAGGTTGAGGGGACACTAATATAGAATATAATTTTTTTTTGAGACATAGTTTTGATCTTGTCACCCGGGCTGGAGTGCAATGGCACAATCTCAGCTTGCTGCAGTCTCCACCTCCCGGGTTCAAGTGATTCTCCTGCCTCAGCCTCCTGAGTAGCTGGGATCACGTGTGCCCGCCACCACGCCCAGCTAATTTTTTTTTTTTTTTTTTTTGTATTTTTAGTAGAGATGAGGTTTCACTACGTTGGCCAGGCTGGTCCTGAATTCCTGACCTCAGGTGATTCACCAGCCTCGGCCTCCCAAAGTGCTGGAATTACAGGCGTGAGCCACTGCACCTGGCCTAGAATATAAATATTTTAATAAACAAATATAAATTGTGAAATTTAAGAGAAATTAGTACTTGGTAATAAAATGTTAGATACCATGAAATAGTATGTGTCAGATAGGAGCTTGTTATATTATTAAAATTAGGTCCTTCGTAGATTCAAAAAAGCCAACTCTTCTAAAAAATATACAACAGCAAACAAGGCTCACAAAGTTCCACTATATCTCTCAGCACCATTTCTTTGAGTTACATTCTTGTAGCTTGTGAGCAATTCATCAAAGTAAACTTAGAACTATAGAAAACATAGAAAATTAATTAGCTTACATTGAGGGAGGTCCAGGAATGAGTTGTTTTCTTTTTGAGTCATACTTGTAACCAGGTGAAAACATCACTTCCCAGCATAGATTATATTCAGGGCCAAAAAGGTCTTACAGAATTTAGTGTATTTTTTTACATAGTTCCAGAATTGTAGCACTCTTGATTAGTTACAAGGTCTATTGTTGAGTATACTAGGTTGGATAGATGACGTACTACTTATCTCCTTTAGTCAAATTAATATATAACTGATTAAAAGTGTAAAAACAAGAAAGAAAAAAGGGAGGAAAGGTATGAGGAAAAGGGAGAGAGGGAAGGAAGGAAGCAAGGAGGGGAGGAAGAAAGAAGAAAAGAAACAAGAAGAAAGAACAAACAAGAAGGAAAGAAAGAAAAAGAAAACAATAGAAAAATAATAAGTATAATATAACTTAAATGAGTGCTACCTTTTTATAGGGGTTGCTTCAAATCTGCAGCCACTTATTCCTTTGGTTTTAGTTGTACTCAAAACCGGTGAAAAGTACTACAATATTTTATAGCCACAGCCAGCACAAATATTTCCAAAGTAAGTATGACCCACATACCCTTTAGGGTCTCCCTAACATTTAAGATACATACTGTGAGAACTCAGTGTCCTCCGGAAGTCTTGCTCATTTTCCCCAAGGGGACCCCAGCCTATCACAGCAACATGTAGTTAATTATTCTGTTCATAGATTATCTCTCCATCCTACGTGTGCTGGGCCACCTCTGGAATAGATCTATACCTACGTGCAACTCAGATATTTTCCTATCCTCAAACACTATACACACACAGACATACACACACGTGCATGCACGCACATGTGCCCATGATCATGTGTGCACACATGCACACATAAAATGCAAACAGAATACACAAAGCATTTCTTAGTGTAATACTCTCCATAGAAAGTTTGTGAGATAGGAGAAAGAAGGCAGGTGACATTTCAGCCATGGAGCTGGAGCACTGAGATTCAGAGTTCCCCAGGTGATTCTAATATACAGCTAGGATTGCCAATCATTGTTTACCGTAATTCAGAATTGCTAAAAAAGACAGGACTGTTAACTTTCTCACCACAGAAAAATGGTGGGTTAGTGAGGTGATGAATATGTTGATTGACTTGATTGTTTCTGGAATGTATGCATATCAAACATCATATGGTACCCCATAAATAGCTTCAATTGTTGTTGGTCAAATAAACATAAATTTAAAAAAAACCATAATGCCGGTATAGCAGCTTAAGATTCTTTTTTCACCTTGTTACATACATACACTCTGGGTAGCTTGAATAGCATTTCAACATATAAACTTAATTAGAGCTGTGTTTTTGTCTTATTCGTTGCTCCCTAGCACCTAAAACAGACACTTGTACGTAATACATACTAAATAACATGTGTTAAATGCATGAATGAATGAATCATTCAATCAGTATTATTCAAAGCAAGATTAAAAGGTATTTTTAACCTGATGGTAGATATAATGGGATGTTACCTTTACTTCACATTTACTTCCTTAAGCTCTAATACGCTCTCACAAGCAATGAATAAGAGCAGAATTTCTTTTTAAAATCTGAGGTTTTGGGGAGGGGTCTTTGAACTTCCTAAAACTGAATGCAAAACTGTGTTTATCTGTCCTATTTTTCTCCCTTGAAAGAATGTCTGACTTTTCATATATTTTCAAAGTTGTCCAATAACCCCGAAAGATTAAGAATGACCCAGTCAGAGAATGTATAGTTCTTTCCTTGACAGGCGTTTTCTTCTTAGTGAAGGTTTCTCTATGGTTCTCTTACAAAGCTCACTTGACTTGTGTATTGAAAATAGGATTTAGTAGCAAACATACACATTTCACACACTTTTCAGTAACCTCATGTAAAAAGTAGAGGTTCTTCTTCAAAGACTTTCCTCCCCATCTAATTAGGAATAAATAGTAACTTTCTCTTAGAAGCAAAATTTAATCAAAGACCTGTGCTAACCTTCTTAAATATCTGCGAGCTGTAATAAAGAAATCAATGTACTTTATGTTCTTAGCTCCCACAATTTAGCCTAAATATAAGCATTGCCCTGGCATGCTTATACTGGTCCAAGCAAGCATTAGGTCATAGCCTGTGCCTCTTCCTTATGTGAAGCTGTTTTTTACCTTTCTCAGCATTCCGCAAGTTACTTCCTCCTTCCTTTGGTCTCCTCTGCCTTTGCCTCTTTTAAAAAGTTCTAAGTTGCTAGCCAATTGGGACAAATACAGAATGTGAGGTCCCGTTCCAGCCAATGGAAACTGGACACAGCAGTAGGGCGGACGCGTCAGGTTATAAATGACCCCGTCTCCTTTGTTCGGTGTACTCTCGTGGCAAAACTGCTGGTGAGTGTACCGTTTCTGCAGAAAGTATAAAAATGGCCTTGCTGAGGAAATTAAATTTGTGTCCAAGTGCTATTTCTTTATGGCACCGGGGAATAAGCATTTCAGACACACAGGTTGAATGATATATTTATTTATGGTGCTAACAAAGTAGAATGTGAAAACTGTGAATGGAAATAAGGAAATGTTCCAGTAGCCTGAATTTTTGATAGTTTTATACCTGCTTCCCTTTATTCAAGACAGATTTGGCCAATTACAGGAGCAAGGGTTTAAAAGCCTTCTGACTCCACAAAGGTATGTTTGCAAATGTGCCAATTCCCCTGCTCTCGCTTATCACATGATTGAAAACACTGGTTACTCAGAAGTGCTAAGCAAATAGCCGCTTGTTTGCTGGAGCTACAGCAGTAAGGGGGATTTTGAACGAGTAGAGGGTGTGCAATGTCCTTTATATGTTCCTCGCAGCTTTGGAAAATACGCAAAGGTCATTTGCTCTTATTTTGTGAATTAGCAGTCGTATTTTCATATTGCTTTTCTCCGTTAAACCATGTTTGCCTTTGTGTAATTATCAATTGGTAAATCAAAAGAACCCATTTGGTAAATATATATTGAGTGATTACAGTTTGCAAATCACCATAAAACAACTCCAATTAATAAACATTTTTTCTCTTTAATGATAAGAAGCAGTTAAAGATCACTAAGAATGAAAAATAAACCAATGAATATACTTGCATGTTAACATAATTAGCATTTTTGGTTATATTTTTGTGATACTAATTTTTGTAAAACACTATTAGTCATGAGACTTATTTTTCTGTTTTTTTTATGTAATCTGAGATTATAAAATGATTTGCAGCCTGTGTATATTAAATTTCAAGTGGAATTTGAGGAATATGGGAATGACCATAAGAATTTATAAGGTTTTTTAAAAGATCAGTTTTGTCCACCTAGACATTATACATGCAAATATTGTAGATTTTAGAGTGTCTCAAACTGTCAGGTTCTCCATACTGTGAATTTCAATCTGATGAGCATACTTCAGCTTTTTAAATAGGACCCTTAAGTGTTTTATTTTAATAGCAGTTTTAAATTCATGGCAATTTATACTAATATTCCACGATTGTGACATTCTTTACAGATTTACTGATCCAGAGGTCATGTGTATAATCTCACGTCAAACAGAATAAACTTTGTCATCTACTACCATTGGTTTCATGTGAAAAATAAATGATTTCTATTTAAGAGGGAAATGATATAGTTAATCCTACTAAAAGCTGTGATTTTTGTTTTGAGCTTTCAGAGTGAGATTCAGAACTTTTATTCAGTTTCAACACTTAAAAAAAATTGTTAATTTGGGCTGGGCACAGTGGCTCACGCCTGTAATCCCAGCACTTTGAGAGGCCAAGGCAGGTGGATCACCTGAGGTCGGGAGTTCAAGACCAGCCCGGCCAACATGGCGAAACCCTGTCTCTACTAAAAAAAAAAAAAAAAAAAAAAAAAAAAAAAAAAAAAGCCAGGCATCATGGCGAGCACCTGTAATCTCAACTACTCCAGAAGCTGAGGCAGGAGAATCTCTTGAACCGGGGAGGGGGAGGTTGCAATGAGCTGAGATTGTACCACTGCACTCCAGCCTGGGTGACAAGAGCAAAATGCCATCTCAAAAAAAAAAAAAAAAAAAGAAAGAAAAAATTATTAATTTGGAATAATAAATTTGACCCAGAATAATGTGATGCAATGTTTGACATGAAAGTTAAAATGGATTATTGAAATGAAATCATCTTTATTAATAGCAGTATTCCCCACTACCTTTTAAGTTTCTCCCCTCCACTAATAAAGGGGGAAATAATGAATGTGGAATCAAGTTGCTTCTAACTGGGTAAAGGCTTATGAGTGATTAGTCTAACCAACCCAAGGCAACAAACCCTTCACAACTGACCTGCTGCCATGCACTGTTGGAACAGAACATGGGAATGGAATGTAAATGTGAAGGCAGACAGGTACATGCCTATTGCCTCTTTTACATAATATCGATAGCCTTGAACAATTTACTTACCCTCTTTGGACTTCGGTTTCCCTATCGGTATGTTTAAGAACAGTAAAGCAACTTTCAAGGTCAAACTCCGATATATTTGTCTCAAAAGCCTTTCAGGATCAACTGCTCTGGTGTATAATCTAGACATTTTCATTTGTAAAGTTTCTCAGGTAATCTTTTGGTGTAGCCAAGGTTGAGAAACACCTGACATAGAGCAGATGTCAGCTCACTGTTATTCAGGGGTCAAAGCGGGCCCACTACCTGATTTTACAAATATCGTTTCATTGGGACACAGCCATGCTCATTCATTTATGTATTGTCTATGACTGATTTTGTGCTACAGTGGCAGACTTGAGTAGTTGTGACAGACACTTTATAAACTGCAAAGCCACAAATATTTACTATTTGGCCATTTACCGAGAAAGTTTGATAGCCCCTGTCATGTAGGGAAGAATTTAGGCTCTGAAGTCAGATAAAACTAGATTTAAAATCTGGTTCGTTCTTTTATTTACTGTGTAATATGGTAGTTTACATATGGTAAGAGATAAGTCATTTCAAGTCTCTCAGCCTCATGTATGGTGATTGTGAGGATTATATGGGATAACGTATTCGAAGTGCTTAGCCAGGCACATAATAAATGCTCAGTGAATGTTTGTCATGACTCTTCTACTATTACTACTCCCTTTTCTCCTCCTCCTCTCTCCCTCACTGTCTATTTCTCTCGCGCACACACTCACACATACATACACAAAGGAATGTATACAAAATATCTAGGAAATAAGACTAGCCGCCGAAAGACAGATTCCCTTATACCCTGAGTACTGCAACGTACTATAAGTTTAGACTTTACTGGGAAGTTACAGCAAGTGGTGCTCCCAGAGATTTTGAGCGTGGTTGCTGCAGAAACAATGAAAACATTTATTACTGGAGTCTGAAGTATCTCCTTGTTGTGAGATTTTAATGACTACAATGCTGAGCCAGCAATATGAATATTTAATAAATATTTATTGAACATCTACCGTATGTCAGGTACTAGGCTAAGTGCTGAGAATATGATGATGAACAAGACATGATAATTGCCTTCGAGCCTTAAACCATAATGGTAAAGATCAGTAAGTAAACTGTCAATTGCAGAATGTGTAAGTAATAACATAATGTGTTACATAGAATGTGTTACTTATTTTAAGTATGTGTTAGTAATAACACTAATGTGTAAGTAATAACAGAATGTGGTACACACAGTGTGTTACAATTAATACACAGTCAATTTCTCTGATCAGTGCCGAGGTTCTCCTTTGTGTACAATGCACCTCAGGACCTATCTTGTTCACCTTATCTCTCAGCATTCCTCATTCCTCAGAGAACATATTGGAAGGAGTCCAGAGCAGGAACAGGCAGATGAGTTAAGAAGCTCATAGAATCATCAAGGCGAAATGTAAGGATAGCTTGGCAATGGTGGTGGTGGAGATGGAGAAAAGTGAACTGATTCTATAATAATTTTGAAAGTAAAATTAAGAACTTTCTCCTGAATTGTGTGTGGGGAATGATGACGAAACAGTTGTTGAGGGTAAGTGCCAGGGACATAGCTTCTGCAACTTCATGGCGAATAGGATTGATTCTTGAGATTGTAGCAGGACGAGCCACGGACAAAACCCCTCAGACATCGAGATGGTGAAGGGAGTGGCTTTAATCAGCTGGGAGCATCTGCAGGCTAGCGTCTTAAAATCCCAGCTCCTCAGGTGCTCAGCTTCTGTCCTTTTTAAGGGCTCACAACTCTAAGGGGATCCGCATGAGAGGGTCGTGATCGATTGAGCAAGCCAGGGGGTACGTGACAGGGGCTGCGAGCACCGGTGGTCAGAGTGAAACAGAACAGAACGGGAAGTGTCACAATGTCCTTCCATCCAATGTTTGGAATCTATAGATAGCAACAGTTGCTAGGTCAGGGGTCGAATTTTAGCTACCAGGCTTA
The DNA here is from genome assembly GCF_000001405.40 of Homo sapiens. Taxonomy (NCBI): domain Eukaryota; kingdom Metazoa; phylum Chordata; class Mammalia; order Primates; family Hominidae; genus Homo; species Homo sapiens. The sequence continues at coordinate 144,490,614 of NC_000023.11, read as the reverse complement.
GGTCAGGCAGGCCCAGGCCTCGTTTCGGGTCTGGTTCCTAGGGGCCGGGCTACCTGTCTTTAGTTTTGCTTCTCTTTCCTTTTCTGAGTGTAAAACAATATGAGAGGGTCTCTCTCTTCCCTCAAGATAGGGTACTTTGGAAGAGGACTAGGTTTTTGTAGATATGGTAGATACCTTCCATTTACCTTTCTTGATTTTTTTCTTTTCTCTTCTCCAACCTATTTCTGCCCTGGGATGCTGCCGTTATCGACTGCATAGACTCATCCTCCTTGCTGTCTGGTATCTTGATGTATTTGGCCAATGAGAGCCTCCGGCAGGAGATCACTGGGCAGTTGGAGAGAGACACTGATGTATTATTTCCCTTGCACTTCTTGCTTGTCCACAGTCTATTAGCGGTTTTATTCCTATGACATAACGCCACTGTTGTTGTAGGGTAGTTCACTCCTAAGCTATTATTGGCTAAAGACTCCAGTTATGTCGTTTTCTCCTGTCCCCTTCGGGCCTATGAATGGCCACATCTTCTCACTCTTATTGTGCTAGGGTGGTTCAAGATCCCTTGTTGGTTTCTATAAACCTGACCACAATATTTGTAAATAGTCTTTCTGTTTATCCCTTTCCAAGGAGTCATCTGTAACTACTGGGACTTGGATACATACAATGTGTAATATTATAGTTTGGTATCCACTTCTGAGTTTGAGGAGTTTTTAAGATATCTAGGAGTTAAGATCAACAGTAGAGATTAATTTGTGTGTTTGGAGCGCAAATAAATGGTCTAGGATAGGGATATACCATGTGCTAGGCTCTCTGCTGGACACTTTGAAAACATTTCTTAATAATATACTAACTTGGCCGGGTGCAGTTGCTCACGCCTGTAATCCCAGCACTTCGGGAGGCTGAGGCGGGCGGATCACTTTGAGCTCAGGAGTTCTAGACCAGCCTGGGCAATGTGTAGAAACCCAACTCTGCAAAAAATACAGAAATTCACCAGGTATTGGTGGCTCGCGCCTGTAGTCCCAGCTACATGGGGGGCTGAGGCTGGAGAATCACTTGAGTCCAGGAAGCAGAGGTTACAGTGAGCCAAGATCACATCACTGTACTCCAGCCTGGGTGACAGAACTAGACCCTGTCTCAATATTAATAACAATAATAATAAACTAAGTCTATGATCTAGGACTCTTACCGTACTAGGGGTGACAAACCATCCTGGATTTCCTGGAACTGAGGCATTTCCTCGGATGTGAGGCTTTTCACAGCTATACCAGAAAATTTTGGGATGAACCAGCATTAATTTGTCACCCTATAGTTTACCATTTGGAATCTGAGGCTCAGAATATTTAAGAATCTAGTTTAAAGTTCCCCAGGTAGGTGGAGGCTAGAGGTGGGATTTTTCCAAACCCTATCTGATTTTACAAACTAAAATCTTTTCACTACAGATCACTCATTCTCATGCCTGAATTTCCTTAGAATAATCTGAAGTCTTAAAAATAAACAAATAAAAATCTCAAAAAACTAACAAACAAACTCAAATTTTGAAACATCGTGACAACCAATGAAGGAGAACAACATAAAGATAAATAATATACATTCCTTGCCCTTAAGGAGTCCATAATCAAGTGGGAAAGTTGGACATGTTAAAAAATAAAAACCAAATATGAAAAGGCACAGGTAGTAAGTGAGAAAGCCAGAAACTGATCCCAGGACTGCCTCACTTCAAGATGCTATAACCGAAGTAAAATAAAAGTGTTCTCAAACAAAATACAATGAATGGATGAGAGAATAAATAAAGGAATGAATGAATTCATCCCTCAGAGCACACCTGTATCAGACATGATCCTAGCTGTGGGAGACTAAAACATACCTATGTTTTTGAGGAAGTTATAACTGTGGTGTTAAACAGGTGTGCAAAGATACGTTTTTTTATGGTCAGTGAAAAATATGAGTTAGTGGGTTGCCTATGATCACATGATTATTGAGGATGGGAACTGAGCTTTGAACTCAGACATGACTCAAAAACCATCAGGTCTATAAAATTCCCAAGGGAAAGGTGGAGTGAACAGTTATGTAAATATGACTTGGGGAGCATGGAAACTAGAATTAGAAAACAGGTGACAAAACATCATAGAAATGCTCAATGCTATTAAATACATGGCAAAGTGGAGGATAAAGGCCAGTTGTAGATATCTTGGAAGGAAAGTGAAAGGCATTAGGTCTTCGGATTCTAATGAGGTGTGAATATTTACTTTATGATTCACAATACATTCTTCTAATTTAAGCAAATCCTTATGTAGCACCTCAGCTCCCCGCTTCCTAATGTGCAAAGTATAGAAGAAAAAAATAAATGATACGTCTCTGCCTTAGAAGAATTTTTGGTCTAGTGAAGGATAAAATAAAACAACTTACAGAGGCCATTGCTGTGGGAAAGACAGAGGCGGCTTAAGTGAAAAAAAGAAACAAGTTTTTCAGGGAAAAAGGAAAAGAAGGGTGATTCAGGTACACGAACAGTAAAACAAAAGCCAAAACTTGGATGTCTGTGAGTTGCTGGAGGAATAGCTAATTGATCAGCCAACCTTTCCTCTAAGCTTGCTGACTGAAATCCTAGAATATACTTCTCCCAGGCATGATATTTATAATACTGCAAAAAAGAAAATCTTAAAGTTGGTATTATTAAAGTCAGACTAGAAAAGTATACATGAATGCGATTAAATGAGGTAGGTATTAATGCTTGAGACTATGGCACACTAATGAAAACTGGAGCTTAGAATTAGATTATGTCATCTGGGGCCATTTAAAGAATAAGGCAGATTCCCTAATGGAAACTGCTATGTATAGAGGTGTATAGGCAGCAAACCAGATTCCACGATGGACATATTCAGATACCTTTGCTTATGTTAGACAGTGATTGCCAAAAATCATCTCGTGATGTAGTTCAGAGTTTCTATCTTTTTAAAAAATTAAATAAGACTTTGAATAGACTCGTACAAACATTATGACAGCTATTTTTTAAAAGTAAGTTTGATTCAAATTAATATTTTGGTATCACATAGTCTTTTGATACATTATTATGTAGTGATTTGGCATTCTGTGTAGACCCAAATTAGGTTTCTTTTCTGATATTTGAAAGTCTGTACAATAGAGGTAGTGTATTTCTAATCTGAAGTAAAATCGTGAGGGGTAGCTGAGCGGCACGCCAGGTGGGATAGAGCATCATAATGAGAAATGCATTACAGCCTGCTGAGAGAGGCTTATGATTGGAAATCATTGGTGGAAAGGAAGGTTTTCCTGATTGAATGCTTTTAAAATGAGCAAAGTCTTAGAACTATTAGTAATGCAAGTGCGGCCTTTACCAAGCTGTTGCTCTGAAATTGTCATGAGAGTGAATAATGATATCTTGCAATTACTACACTATTTAGAACTCTATTACCACACTACTCTGTGGTAGAAACTACTTCCAAACCATGTGGTGAATTCTTACCATATCTTGTTTTGAAATGTGAATAATATGTATTTTTATTTTTCTGTTGATTCCCGTAAGTGAGCCTTCTAAAGGATGAAATCTGCTTTCCAAACACATTTGGAATAAGTGATGATGAATAAAGTTAATAAAATAGGGAGTCATTTCTCCTTCAGATGCAACTATCCTTTCTCAGATGCCTGCTAAGAGCTAGGAACTCTACTCAGATTTCCACATAAATGATATCATGTAATTATCATAATAACCTTGAGAAAAATGTTTAATTATTCTATTTTACCAGTGATTAAACAGACGGTTGGAGAAGTAAAGTGATTTGTTTGCATCCACACAGGGATTAAACCAAAGGTGAATCCTATTCTCTTCCATATAAATATTTTCCTTAATATCTTCAGGAATGCCCCATTTTGAGATAATATTTAAGAAATGAAGGGCCAATTATACAGTTAGGATATACCTATCAAACAAAAGAATGAAAACACTTTTATTACATTTAGACAGTAGAAAGAGAAAATCTGCATAATTTGTTCATAATACCTTTTTTAGGATTCACTGATAGATTGCTCGATAATACTAAAGTATCAAATACAATGATGTGGGATATGATGAGGTTTCTCTTCAAATAACCTGATCAATCTTTTATTCTTTAATCCGTAGTACCCCCCCCCCCCACCTTTTTCCCTTTTTCTCCTTTTTTTTCTTTTTGCCTTTGTTAGATAGATGCCCAGGCACGCCACAGTACCAGGCGTTACCAGTACCGGCTCACATTCCTTTCCTTATTTGCAAAGAGGACTATAACTTTCTAGCTCATTACAGCCACCCCTTCCCCTTTCCTCTCTGCTTTCCTTTACGTGCCCACCTTATTTAAAAAAAAAAAATCAAATGTTTAGCCAACCGGGATCAGTTTAAATTGTACCACCCGACCCCAGCCAATAGGGAAAGGGTGCAGGGGCAGGACTTGCGTCAGGAATAAAGGCTCTCGTGCCCCTTTGTTCAGATGTGCTCTCACGGTGACTGGCCAAGGAGGCACCTCTCTGCGCAGAAGTAAAATTGCTTTGCTAAGAATCCTTTGTTCGAGCGTTCAATTTCCTCAGGATTTTGAGCGTTATTCCTAACAAATGACAAAAAGGTAATTATGAGGTATGGGCTACAGGATGCCACATATGTGATTTGGTAGCCATGTTGTCAACATTTATCAAATATTAGTTAAATACCTCCTTGTGTCAGCTACAGAGTTGGCTTTTCAGTTCTTGGACCCATGTTATGTCAATTTTTTTTTCTACAAAGGCCCTGTGAACCCTAGGTATCTGAGACAGTTCTCAGGCAATTAAGAAAGTTTATTTTGCCAAGGTTAAGGACACACTCATGCCTGTGACACAGCCTCAGGATGTCCTGACGTAAAGTAGCCAAGGTGGCTGAAGCACAGTTTCATTTTACACATTTTAGGGAGACAGGAAACATCGCTAAATATATGTAAGATGTACATTGGATCAGTCCAGAAAGGCAGAACAACTCAAAGCAGGGAGGGGGCTTCCAGGTCATAGGTAGATAAGAGACAAATAGTTGCATTCTTTTGAGTTTCTGATTAGCCTTTCAGTGAACAGGCAATTTCGAGGAATAGTCATTTTCATTTTAGGTCATAGGTAGATAAGAGACAAATAGTTGCATTCTTTTGAGTTTCTGATTAGCCTTTCAGTGAACAGGCAATTTCGAGGAATAGTCATTTTCGTTTTAGTCTGGCTTAGTGAAACAATAGCAAAAAGGAAGCAATCACATATGCATTTGTCTCACATGAGCAGATGGATGACTTTGAGTTCTGTTTGTTTTTGTGCCCACAAGGAATTTCCTTGTGGTCAAATAGTGAGGGAGATATGTAGCTTTTTTATATTAGTAGATATTTTCTCTTTTTTTGGAATAGAATGGGAATCAGGTTTGCCCTAAGCATTTCCCAGCTTGACTTTTCCATTTGGCTTAGTGATTTGGGAGTCCAGAGATTTATTTTCATTTCACAGCCTGATAGGAAATATTCTCGACTTTGCAGCCTGTAGTTCTCTGATGCATCCAATCAATTCTGCATTTGTTGTGAGAAGCATCTATAGAAAATACTTCAACAAATAGGCATGGCTGTGTTTCCATAAAACTTTATTTAAAAACACAAGCCAAGAACTGCATATAGCCTATGTGCCATAAGTTAGAATAGTTGACCATTTCCTGCTTTATTTCATCACAGAATTTTTTTTAAAAATTCTCGCTTATGGAAATAAGTATTTTTTAAAAATCTACTCACGGAAATGAGTGAGAATATTTAACATGTTTAGAGAAATAAAACAGGATATTGAAGTAAGAGTAAAAAATTAGAAACTACCATATTTGACTTGGAAATTTTGACAAAAGGTAAAAAGTGTTTAACACAGAAAAAATTAGAAAATACATAAAGTTTACAATATCTGTTTAATTTGTAATCGTAGTTTTAATATTTTCTGTTTGGTTATCCCCAGATCTGGATACCATGCCTTTCAACTGATTCTCCATAACATTACGATAATCACAAGACAGGATATTGTTAAAGTCCATGTGTAATAGAAAACAACAGTTTAAAAATTCATTTTGCTATCCTACTATCTTGATATTTTTCAATAATATGTAATAAATCTTCTGTAAGATTTATATAAAGCCAAAAAATAGAAAATCACATTTAAACATAATTATCTTTGCTTATCTAGTAAGATTTATCCATCATTTTAGTTTCTTTTTATTTAAAAATATTTGGTTATTAATTGAGATTTGGGTTAAAAAAAATCTGTGATCAAATTAGTGTAGAAAATGGTCAATTACTCTTGTATATGGTACCTGGGCCATATACAGCCCTCTGCCTGTCTTTGTAAATAAAGTTTTATTGAAACACAGCTATAACTGTTGAAGTATTATCTATGGTTGCTTCCCACAACAAATGTAGAATTGATTCGATGCAACAGAGACATATGGGCTACAAAGTTAAAAATATTTACTATCTGGCCCTTATACATCAAAAAAAAAAAAAAAAAAAAGAGTTTGCTAACCCCTGCTCTAAACGAAGTTATTTGCTTTATTGCTAGAAATCACAGAACTTCTACTTATCCATTGTAATTCTAAATTTCCAAGAAGACGATGTGTTTAATACATATTATTTTCCAAACTGAGCATAGTACTGTTTTTGACTCAGCTGATACCAATCAGCACCTGGTATTAGTGTCCTATTGTATGATTTCAGATGTATTATTGATTGATTGGAAAAGTCTAACACCTCCATTCACACTTCACTGTAACTTCCAGACTAATGTAGCTAAAAACACAGAAACCTAAAAGACACAAATTATCACAGTACAATAGCTCTTGGCTCCCAGTCTTCCACTGAGTGTTACCCAGGTTTTGATGATGCTGTCTGAAACAGGTAGAGTCTTACCAGCTTAAAAAAAAAAAGCTTAATTTTGAGTTGTTCCATAGTTTTCATATATTCATGGCTCACATAACTATTCAAGAAAAATTTATACAGCCTCTTTGCTTAGTATTTCCAATTAAGGGGATGTTTGCAAACAGTACGTTTTCCCTGGTGATGGCCAAAACTCAGTATTAGTGAAGTCGCATCCCTACCTAGGAAGACAAATGGAGTTTATACCCAAAAGTACTTAAGAAGTACTTCTTTCTAGCTTCCTAACATCCTGGAAAGCCTGTTTTCCTACATCTGTGAAACACATGCTTTTTTAAACAATAAAGTTTTAAAGGCATACATCACCCTGTATCATTACCTGTGTGATATTTTGTTGAAGATGCACATCATTTCATTATTTAGAAATTTTTTTTTATTCTTTTTTACTACTTCGTTAAAAGTAAGAAATCTAGAATGGTTGATAAATGTTAAAAAATACCTCTTTATATCTGTCAAAGCAATCATAGATTTTATGTCATTTCACCTATCAAAGAAGTGAATTCCTTTAATTTGATTCTTAAGTCATTGTTTCATAGATATATTTACATACTTAATGTTTAGTTAGTAATCAAAGTCATACAAAATACAGACAAACAAACAAACTAAAATCTGTGAGACAATGGCAACAGAAACATCGCGATTGTCAAATTCAACCAAATAGCAAAGACTTTGAACACTGGAATTATCAGAAAAATATTATAAAATGAGTTAGTATATTTAACATGTCTAGAGAAATAAAAGAAGGTATTTAAGCATGAGTAAGAAATAAGAAACCATCATATTTAACTAGGAAAATTTGACAGAGCATAAAATAGATCTTTCTAGAAGTTAAAAATGTCACTTAATTAAAACTTGGTGTCAAGTTTAAAATAAAGCTTCATGTTGATTAAACAGCATGTTGAACATAGCTGAAAAGAATTGGCAAACTTTCTAGTGTATCTGAAATTACTCAGAATTTAGCACACAGAAACTAAGAGATGGAAAGTATGAATAAACGTCTAAAATAATGCATGACAGACTGAAAAAGATTAAAAGGCATCTGATCAAAACACTAGAGGGATGGAATAGAAAAAAAAGGAGGATAAGAAATTTTCAATGAGTTAATAGCTAAATATTTTACACAATTGAGGAAAGAAATAAATCTCCAAACTAGGAATCCCCAACAAATCCAAAACAGGATGAATAAGATAAAGTCCAAATCTAAGCACAATATAGATAATCTTGAAAAACACTAAAACTAAGAATTAATATTAAAATCAGCCAGATAAATCATATAGGCCATCTAAAAAGACTAACAATTAGAGTTAAGATGACAACTGCAATGATGGGAGCCAGGAAATCGCCAATAATCATGTATTTAGAAAGTATCTCTTAAAAGTAAGAGTGAATTCATTATAATTTTTATGCAAACAAAACTTTAGGATAATTTGTTTTCAAAAATTAATCACATCTCTGGTTAGCTGTATTCCTAGGTATTTTATTCTGTTTGTGTCAGTTGTGAATGGGATTGCCTTCCTGATTTGGGCCTTGGCTTGGCTGTTGTTGCATAGGAATGCTAGTGATGGTTGTACATTGATTTTGTATCCTGAAACTGCTGAAGTTGTTATCAGCTGAATGAGCCAACCAGGGAGGTAAAAGATCTCTACAATAAGATTTACAAAACACTGCTCAAAGTAATCAGAGATGGAACAAACAAGTGGAAAAACATCGCATGCTCATGGATAGAGAGAATCATATCACTAAAATGGCCATACCTCCCAAAGCAATCTACAGATTCAATGTTATTTTTGTGAAACTACCAAGGACATTTTTCACAGAACTGGAAAAAATTACTGTAAAATTCATATGGGACCAAAAAAGACCCCAAATAGCCCAGGCAATCCTAAGCAAAAAGAACAAAGCTGGAGGCATCACGTTACCTGACTTTGAACTACACCACAGGGCTACGGTAACCAAAACAGCATGTTACTGGTACGAAAACAGGCACATAGACCAATGGAACAGAATCAAGAGCCCAGAAATAATGCTGCACACCTATGACCATCTGATCATCTACAAAGCTGACAAAAACGATGGGAAAAAGACTCCCTATTCAATAAATGGCGTTGGGATAACTGGCTAATCTTATGCAGAAAACTGAAGTTGGACCCCTTCCTTACATTATATACAAAAATCAACTCAAATTAAAGACTTCAGTGTAAAATCCAAAACTATAAAAACCCTGGAAGATAACCTAGGCAATAACATACTGGACATAGGAATGGGTAAAGATTTCATGATAAAGACACCAAAAGCAATGGCAGCAAAAGCAAAAATTGACAAATAGGATCTAATTAAATACTTCTTACAGCAATATAAACTATCAACATAGTAAACAGACACCTTAGAAATGGGAGAAAAGTTTTGCAAACCATGCATCCGAAAAGGTCTAATATCAAATATCTAATATCTATAAGGAACTTAAGCAAATTTAAGAGAGAAAAACAAATAATTTTATTCCACATGGAAAGTAATTCAGAGAACTCCCTGCTATATGGGTGTCTCCCAGCATACACAGTATCAGCTCAAGTGTCTCCACCCACTGTAGTACTACATATTCTTTCATTTAAATGATAGATTTCAAATAAATGATGATTGCACCATACTTGTAAAGATAAGAAACAGAACCTGAAGTATTACAATTTTTGATTCTGTGTGGCCGTTTAGAGTTTCTTAAAAACATTTTTGAGGTTAATTTATATGCAATAAATGCACTCAAAGGTCAATAAAAAAGTAGGCAAAGGGCATGAACAGACATGTTTCAAAAGAAGACTTACATGTGGCCAAAAAGCATACGAAAAATAGTTCAATGTCACTCATCATTAGAGAAATGCAAATCAAAACCACCCTGAGATACCATCTCACACAAGTCATAATGGCTACTATTCAAAAGTCAAAAATAACAGATACTGATGAGGTTTATGGATAATAAGGAACACTTATACACTGTTGGTGGGAGTGTAAATTAGTTGAACTATTGTGGAAATCAGTGTGACAATTCTTCAAAAGGCTAAAAAGAGAACTACTATTCAACCCGGCAATCCCATTACTGGGTATATACCTAGAGGAACATAAATCATTCTACCATAAAGACACATGCACAAAAATGTTCATTGCAGCACTATTCACAATAGCAAAGATATGGAATCAACCTAAATGCCCATCAATGACATATTGGATAAACAAAATGTGCCACATATACACCATGGAATACTAGGCAGCCATAAAACACAATGAGATCATGTCTTTTGTGGGAACAGGGATGGAGCTAGAGGCTGTTATCCTTAGCAAACAAATACAGGAACAGAAATCCAATACTGCATGTTCTCACTTATACACAGGAGCTAAATGATGAGAACTTATGAACACAAAGAAGAGAACAACAAACACTGGGGTGTACTTTAGGTGGAGGGTGGGAGGAGGGAGAGGAGCAGAAAAGATCACTATTGGGTACTGGCCTAAATATCTGGGTAATGAAATAATCTGTAAAACAAACCCCCGTGACACAAGTTCGCTATGTAACAAACTTTCACATGTACCCCTGCACCTAAAATAAAAGGTAATAAATAAATAAATAAAATTGAATAAAAATCCCTCAAACAATGAACAAATACTTTTAATCATACACACTTTCAGAGAATAAAATATAGTACCCTTCAACTGATTTATTTAGGCTCATATAATGTTGATAACAAAACCAGACAAGGACATTATAACAAGAGATAGTTTTATGCTGGTATTTGTCATAAACATGAATGCTAAAATCTTTAAAAAACTGCAAACAACTCCAACTCATATTCCCTCTGTGCCCCTCCCTTTCTCAGTTCTTTCTTCCCCACCTATATTCACATATATATCATATATATTAATATTTATGTGCATGCAGCATTATGGTAAGATTATGTTTATTCCAAGAAGGCAAGACTGCATTCATATTAGAAAAATGATTACTGTAATTCATCAATTAAGAGATTAAAGTTGAAGCATCATATGATAATTTCAACAGACGCAGAAAAAGCTTTTGCTTAAAAATTTCAATTTCAACTTCATGAATTTCATAGTTCATGATGAAAATGTTAGCAAACAGAAAATTGAAGTCCTTTACTTGATAAAGTATATTGACGAAAATAAAACAAATGTCATACTATAATAACATTCCATTTAAAATCTGGCATAAGACAAGAAGGAGTCTCATTAATATAGTTACTAGAGGACTAAACCCGTGCAATTAGACAATAAAGAAAAATGTAAATAAATTAAATGAATATATTTTGGAAGGGAAGTCATTATTTGCTAAGCCAGTGTAGGGTAGTGATTTAAGAGAATGAACTTTGGTGCCAAACTGCCTGGGTCCAAATCCTGCTTCTGGAACTTACTATCTATAGGTTCTTAGATATTCTCATTGTGTCTTAGTTTCCCCGTGTGAAAAGTATGGCTAATAATAGTGTTACTGTGAGAATTAATTTACATCCAATTGCTGACTTACGGTCGTTCATCTTATGATCATTTTACTTATTAAAATCTTTTTTGCTTCTATTTAAATCCTTTTTTTTCTTCAACTTTAAGTTCATGGGTACATCTGCAGGCTTGTTACATAGGTAAACATGTGCCATGGTATTTTTCTGCACGGATCATCCCATCACCTAGGTATTAAACCCGTCCTCCATTAGCTAATTCTTCCTGATGCTCTCCCTCCCCCACCCCTTCTACCCCAACCAACAGGCCCCCCACAGTGTGTGTTTCTCCCCCTCCCATGTGTCCATGTGTTTTCATCACTCAGCTTCCATTTATAAGAGAGAACACGTGGTGTTTGTTTTTCTGTTCCTGCATTAGTTTGCTGAATATAATGGCTTCCAGTTTCATCCATGTCCCTGCAAAGGAAATGATCGCATTCCTTTTTATGGCTGCATAGTATTTTGTGGTGTATGTGTACCACACTTTCTCTAAGAAGACACACATGTGGCCAAAAAACACATGAAAAAAAGCTCAACATCACTGATGATTAGAGAAATGCAAATCAAAACCACAATGAGATACCATCTCATGCCAATCAGGAGGGCTATTATTAAAAAGTCAAAAAACAACAGATGCTGGCGAGGTTGCAGAGACAAAGGAGCGCTTTTATACTGCTGGTGGGAGTATACATTAGTTCAACCATTGTGGAAGATATTGTGGCAATTCCTCAAAGACCTAGAGGCAGAAATACCATTTGACCCAGCAATCCCATTACTGGGTATATACCCAAAGGAATATAAATCATTCTATTATAAAGATATATACATGCATATGTTCATTGCAGCACTATTCACAATAGCAAAGTCATGGAATCAACCTAAATGCCCATCAATGATAAACTGAATACTTACGATGTTTTAATTTGTGATGGGCTCATCTGCAGGCAACCCCATCATAAGTCAAGGAGGACTATAACTTACAATGGGGCTATGTTTTCTATTGAACGCATATCACTTTCATGTAATCACAGTCAAAAATTGTAATTTGAACCATGGTAATTTGGGGACCATCTTCTGCACTGTCAGAATTAAATACATTTTCTTCTCATGATATTTTTTATATATAATGAGTTTATCAGGACATGGCCCTATCATAAGTTGAAAAGCATCTGTAATTTTTGTAGAGTGCTTAGAAGTAAAATTAGTGCATGGTAAGTACTATGTAAGTGATAATTTTTTAAAAAAACTCAGGTGATAATGATTTTCTGAAGCTGCCACCGGACTCTAGCCTCCAGCTATCACACACATCTACCCTAGTGTGCTACATGTATATTACTGTATTTGTACAATGATAAGAAAATGACTGGGAAAATTAATGAGAAAATGAAATTTCACCTGTGATATCACATAAAAAAATCTATCCTGCTGGATTAGAGATTTAATTTGGAAAGGCAAAAACATTAAATCTTCTGGAAAAACATAGGACTGCGCTGTTTAATACAATAACCACTAACTACATGTAGCAATTAAAATTTGAATTAATTAAACTAAAATTACACTTTTTCAATACATTAAGTATCCAATAGACACATATGACCATTGGCTAACTTATTGGATAGCATAGACTGTAGAACATTTTATCACCAGAGAAAGTTATAGGACAGTGTTGGTACGGAAGACTGTGCTTATGGCGCTAAGGCAGGGGTCGGCAAACATTTTCTGAGAAGGACCTGAAAGTGAAGATTTTAGGCTTGTATTTATATACAATATATGTTGTATATTTGCATTTATTTGTAAATTTATATATATTTATATTTTATAAATATATGTATACATGTTTATCTTTTATAAATATAGGTATACATGTTTATCTTTTATAAATATATGTATACATGTTTATCTTTTATAAATATATGTATACATGTTTATCTTTTATAAATATATGTATACATGTTTATCTTTTATAAATACATGTATACATATTTATCTTTTATAAATACATGTATACATATTTATCTTTTATAAATACATGTATACATATTTATCTTTTATAAATACATGTATACATATTTATCTTTTATAAATATATGTATATATATTTATCCTTTATAAATATATGTATACATATTTATCTTTTATAAATATATATACATATTTATCTTCTATAAATATATGTATATATTTATATATTTACCTTCAATAAATATATGTATATATTCATATATTTATCTTCTACAAATATATGTACATATTCATATATTTATCTTCTACAGATATATGTACATATTCATATATTTATCTTCTATATATGTACATATTCATATATTTATCTTCTATATATGTACATATTCATATATTTATCTTCTATAAATGTACATATTCATATATTTATCTTCTATAAATATATATTCATTTGTTTATCTTTTCTAAATATATATTCATGTTTATCTTTTCTAAATATATATTCATATGTTTATCTTTCCTGAATATATCTATTTATATGTTTATCTTTCCTGAATATATCTATTTATATATTTATCTTTCATGAATATATCTATTTATATATTTATCTTTCCTGAACATATCTATTTATATATTTATCTTTCCTGAACATATCTATTTATATATTTAACTTTCCTGAACATATCTATTTATATATTTATCTTTCCTGAACATATCTATTTATATATTTATCTTTCCTGAATATATCTATTTATATATTTATCTTTCCTGAAATATATCTATTTATATATGTACCTTTCCTGAATATATCTATTTATATATGTACCTTTCCTGAATATATCTATTTATATATGCATCTTTTCTGAATATATGTATTTATATATGTATCTTTTCTGAATATATGTATTTATATATGTATCTTTTATAAATAAATATATTTATCTTTTATAAGTAAATATATTTATCTTTTATAAATAAATATATTTATCTTTTATAAATATATATATATTTATCTTTTATAAATATATATATATTTATCTTTTATAAATATATATATATTTATCTTTTATAAACATATATATTTATCTTTTATAAACATATATTTCTATCTGTTATAAACATATATTTCTATCTTTTATAAACATATATTTCTATCTGTTATAAACATATATTTCTATCTGTTATAAACATATATTTTTATCTGTTGTAAACATATATTTTTATCTGTTGTAAATATATATTTTTATCTTTTATAAATATATATATTTTTATGTTTTATAAATATATATATTTTTATGTTTTATAAATATATATATTTTTATCTTTTATAAATATATATATTTTTATCTTTTATAAATATATATATTTATCTTTTATAAATATATATATTGATCTTTTATAAATATATATATTGATCTTTTATAAATATATATATTGATCTTTTATAAATATATATATATTTACCTTTTATGAATATATATATATTTACCTTTTATGAATATATATATATTTACCTTTTATAAATATATATATTTGCCTTTTATAAATATATATATATTTGCCTTTTATAAATATATATATATTTGCCTTTTATAAATATATATATATTTGCCATTTA